>NC_000020.11:3096638-3248153 GCF_000001405.40 Homo sapiens
AATTGAATCTGTTAACATTGATGGTGGCTGCCCGTCTACTTGGATTCATTTGCAAACATTTAGCTTCTGTTTTCTTTTTGTTATTGTGGAGACACGGTCTAGCTCTGTCACTCAGGCTGGAGTGCAGTGGCGCGGTCATCAAACTATCCTCCTACCTCAGATTCCCAAGTAGCTGGGACTACAAGCCCAACCCACCATGCCAGCTAATTTTTTTTTTTTTTTTTGAGACAGACTTTTCTCTTGTTGCCCAGGCTTGAGTGCAATGGCACGATCTCGGCTCACTGCAACCTCTGCCTCCCGGGTTCAAGCGATTCTCCTGCCTCAGCCTCCCGAGTAGCTGGGATTACAGGCATGTGCCACCACACCTGGCTAATTTTGTATTTTTAGTAGAGACAGGGTTTCTCCATATTGGTCAGGCTGAACTCCTGACGTCAGGTGATCTACCCGCCTCAGCCTCCCTAAGTGCTGGGATTACAGGCATGAGCTACCGTGCCTGGCCCATGCCAGTTTTTTTTTTTTTTTTTTTTTTTTTTTGAGACAGAGTCTCGCTCTGTTGCCCAGGCTGGAGTGCAGTGGCGCAATCTTGGCTCACTGCAACCTCCGCCTCCCAGGTTAAAGCAATTCTCCTGCCTCAGCCTCCCAAGTAGCTGGGACTACAGGCGCCTACCACCACGCCTGGCTAATTTTTGTAGTTTCAGTAAAGACGGGGTTTCTCCATATTGGCCAAGCTGGTCTTGAACTCCTGACCTTGTGATCCGCCCACCTCAGCTTCCCAAAGTACATGAGCCACCGCCCCCGGCCACCAGCTAATTTTTTTTTTTTTTTTTGAGATGGAGTCTCGCTCTCTATCACCCAGGCTGGAGTGCAGTGGTGCCATCTTGGCTCACTGCAAGCTCTGCCTCCCGGGTTCATGCCATTCTCCTGCCTCAGCCTCCTGAGTAGCTGGGACTACAGGCGCCGGCCACCATGCCTGGCTAATTTTTTGTATTTTTAGTAGAGACAGGGTTTCATTGTGTTAGCCAGGATGGTCTCAATCTTCTGACCTCGTGATCCGCCTGTCTCGGCCTCCCAAAGTGCTGGGATTATAGGCGTGAGCTACCGCGCCCAGCCTGCCACCAGCTAATTTTTAAAAAAATGTTTTATAGAGACATGGTCTCATATGTTGCCCAGGCTGGTCTCGAACTTCTGGTTTCATTGCTTCTGTTTTCCATTTACTATGACACCCTTTCACTTCTTTTTCCTTCTTTCTTGTCTTAAAATGGATTATCTTTAAATCTTATTTCTATTATTTCAGTAGTTTAAGCAATATTTAAGATTAATCCATATCTTTATTCTCCTCCAAACAAGCTGGGTTCCTTAGAATGTTTTAAAAAGGATTTCTTGCCCAGTGCGGTGGCTCACGCCTGTAATCCCAATACTTTGGCAGGCCGAGGCAGGTGGATCACTTGAGGCCAGGAGTTCGAGACCAGCCTGGCCAACATGACGAAACCCTGTCTCTACTAAAAATACAAAAACTAGCCGGGTGTAGTCGTGCGTGCCTATAGTCCCAGCTACTGAGGAGGCTGAGGCAGGAGAATCGCTTGAACCCAGGAGGTGGAGGTTGCAGTGAATCAAGATTGCCCTACTGTACTCCAACCTGGGTGACAGAGCAGGATTCTGACTCCAAAAATAATAAAATAAAATATAAAATGAAAAGGATTCCTTTACTGTAATCATATATTTTATTGTAGTTAATGTTTTAGTTTCACCTTGTTTTTAAGACTTCTCAGTACTCATTGCTGTTATTATTAATATTGATTAAAACTCCACTCACCCTTCCTTTGACATCCAGATAGTCTGTACCTCCTGATGGAAAAATAAAAAAAAAATTCCCCAGATCAATAACTGCATACAAAACCCAGGGGCTGTGCAGATTTACTGCAGGGGGAAGACTATATTTGGAACCGGCCTCCATTAGGTGCCCCCAGGCTAAATTTAGCAAAATCCTTCTCATTTTCCAAGACCTATTCATTTCCCTGCACTAAAGAGGAAAACTGTATAAATAGGGATAATGTAGAATAGCTAATGTTTACTGTATGCTGATAATGTGTTCTTGGCATGTACATTATAAGCCACATAACAATATCATGAAGGCATGGGCTCACACTTGTAATCCCAGCACTTAGGGAGGCTGACACGGGCAGATCACCTGGGTTCAGGAGTTCAAGACCAGCCTGGCCAACATGGCGAAACCCCATCTCTACTAAAAATATAAAAATTAGGCCGGGCACCAGGACTCACGTCTGTAATCCCAGCACTTTGGGAGGCCGAGGCAGGCGGATCATGAGGTCAGGAGATCCAGACCATCCTGGCTAACATGCTGAAACCCCGTCTCTACTGAAAGTACAAAAAATTAGCCAGGCATGGTGGCACACACCTGTAGTCTCAGCTACTTGGGAGGCTGAAGCAGGAGAAGGAGGTGAAGGTTCCAGTGAGCTGAGATCGTGCCACTGTACTCCAGCCTAGGTGACAGAGCGAGACTCCATCTCAAAAAAAATGAATAAATAAAAAAATTAGCCAGATCCCTGTAGTCCCAGGTATTTGGGAGGCTGAGAGAGGAGAATTGCTTGAGCCCAGGAAACAGAGGTTGCAGTGAGCCAAGATCACACCACTGCACTCCAGTCTGGGCAACGGGAGTGAAACCCTGTCTCAAAAACAAACAAACAAATATATCACAAAATATGTTTAGTGTTTTTGATGGGTTTTTTTCTTTTCTTTTCTTTTTTGAGACAGAGTTTCGATCTGTTGCCCAGGCTGGAGTGCAATGGCATGGTCTTGGCTCACTGCAACCTCTGCCTCTGTGTTCAAGCGATTCTCCTGCCTCAGCCTCCCAAGTAGCTGGGATTGCAGGCACGCATCACCACACCAGGCTAATTTTTGTATTTTCAATAGAGATGGGGTTTTACCAAGTTGGCCAGGCTGGTCTTGAACTCCTGACCTCAGGTGATCTGCCCACCTCAGGCTCCCAAAGTGCTGGGATTACAGGTGTGAGCCACTGCGCCAGGTCTTTTCTTTTTTCTTTTTTGAGGCAGGATCTGGCTTTGTCACCTAGGCTGGAGCACAGTGGGGCAATCACAGCTCACTGCAGCCTTGACCTCCTTCCTGGGCTCAAGTGATCCACCTGCCTCAGCCTCCCAAGTAGCTGGGAACATAGGTGTGTGCCACAACACAAGCTAATTTTTTTTCTTTTTTTGAGACGGAGTTTCGCTCTTGTTGCCCAGGCTGGAGTGCAATGGCGCGATATTGGCTCACTGCAACCTCCGCCTCCCAGGTTCAAGTGATTCTCCTGCCTTAGCTTCCCGAGTAGCTGGGATTACAGGGATGCACCACCATGCCCGGCTAGTTTTTTTGTACTTTATTAGTAGAGATGGTTTTTCTCCATGTTGGTCAAGCTGGTCTCAAACTCCCAACCTCAGGTGATCTGCCCACCTCGGCCTCCCAAAGCGCTGGGATTACAGCCATGGTGCCTGACCTGAGGGTCAAGTTTTTAATATTTGTGTATTAGTCATTGACTAAGGGGGCTGCAGGGAGGGAGTCTCTCTTGGTGAAGTGGCTACCACTGGCTGAAGGCACGCGTCCAGAGGAAGGCCAGCTGCAAACCACTGACCCCAATGTGCGGCATCTGAGGGACGGACACGCCCAGGGGTCAAGAGAACGGAGCCTGGGAGTGGCATCCACAGGGTCTGCTGTAGGCGACTCCAGTGCCTTCCTCTTGATCCCTCTGCTCAGGTGCCTACTCCAGGGAGGGGCTGGCTTTTTGGATTAGGTTGGATGATGACCATCCTCAAGTGTCTGAATAAAGCTCCTTCAGAGTGAATGCAATGGAGAAAGGGTAGTGCCTTGAGAGGATCTCAGGATGATAGTAGGAAGGGAAATAAATGCTGTAAAGCTAAGCAGCCCTCACCCCCACAAATCCACTGAGATCTTTTCTTTTCTTTTAGAGAGGGTCTCACTCTATTGCCCAGGCTGGGGGGCAGTGGCACAAACACAGCTCGCTGCAGCCTTCACCTCCTGGGCTCAAGCGATCCTCCCATCTCAGCCTCCTGAGTAGCTGGGACTACAGACGTGTGCCACCATGCCCAGCTAATTACGTTACCCAGGCTGGTCTTGAACTCCTGGGCTCGAACGATCCTCTCACTTTGGCCTCCCAAAGTGCTGGGATTACAGGCATGAGCTACCACACCCGGCCCACTGAGATATTTTCTGATATCAGAACCTGAGTTTCATCTTTCCTGCCCCTACCCCTAACCTTAGCTAAACCAACCTCCTCCTCCCGCTTCAGGTCAATGTGGAGCCCTAGACATGCTTTATTCACGTGTTTCCCTGTCTTTCTGCCCTACTAGAGAGTGGTCCTTTCGGTCACTACATCCCCCGGACCCGCCATGGACCCAACCCTGGGTCTTGGGTAAATGACCAGTCGAGTTGGTGTGTCCTCTGCCTGCCCAGGCCCAGCAGCAGTGAAGGGCACGAATTATCAGCACAGGGGCATTTGCAGTCCTTCTTGGCTAAGGAGGATCCCGGCTTTGCCTCCTGGTTTCTCCGTCCTTCCCTAGCCCCGCTGTAGCAATCATCTAGGATTTTGTGGTTGTTTCCGTTACTGTTGCTGTGTAACAAACCGCTCAACATGCAGTGGTATCAACCCACCGCCATTTTATGATGCTCACAGGTTCTGACGGTCACAGTGAACACCTTTTATCTGTTCCACAATGTCTGGGGCCTCCACAGGAAGGAGGGGCGGGCTACAAGCTGAAATCACCTGGGCCTTCTTCATTCACATGCCTGGGCACTTGGGCGGGAGTTGCCCAAAGGCTCAGCTCAGTTGCAGTGCTGTTGCCTGGACTGCCTGCTTTCCTGTGAGTTGGATTCAACCTTTTTTTTTTTTTTTTTTTTTTTTTTGAGACAGGGTCTTGCTGGAGTGCAGTGGCAAGATCTCAGCTCACTGCAACCACCACCTCCCAGGTTCAAGCAATTCTCCTGCCTCGGCCTACTGAGTAGCTGGAATTAGGCACCCGCCACCTCACCCAGCTAATTTTTGTATTTTTAGTAGACTTGGGGTTTCACCATGTTGGATAGGCTGGTCTCGAACTCCTGACCTCAGGTGATCCACCCATCTTGGCCTCCCAAAGCGTTGGGATTACAGGCGTGAGCCACCGCGCCCAGCCTGGATTCACTCTTGAAGCCATTGAATGGCAGCTCAGGGCTTCGATGAAGAGTGAATCTCCAGAAAACAAGGGCAGAGTGACATGGCATTTTATGTTAGCCTCAGAAATCACAGAAGGTCAGTGTTGCCACGCTTTATAGGCTGAAGCAGCCACAAGCCTATCCAAGGTCAAGAGAAGGAACAGAGCCCACTTTTGGCTGGGAAAGTGGGCCAAATAATTGGCAGCCAATAATTTAAAATAATCAGTGGCATGAAGCCAGGAGGAAAGGAGACTAAGCTTTGGAACAGATTTTTTCAAGGTGGAAAAATCCAAGGTTGAAGAGAAAGGTGGACAAGCAGCTGCAGGGAAGCCGTGAGGGAGGCAGCTAAAAGCAGCCGTCTAAGCAGCACTGCCGAGTCACTCCACAGTGCCAACCACACACCCAGTGCCAACCACATTCTGGCCACGGAAGCGGTTTCACTCTCAGACTGAGTTGCAGGGGCTCGCAGCTTTGCAGGTGTTGTAGACCCACCTGGGCCACGCCCAAGCCTGTCCCTGGGTTTCTTCAGTAGAGGAAACATTTAGGGTTTAGGCCACTTCGCATCATTTCCATCATCTCATGATTGAAGGTCAATTCGCCGAGGCTGTCGCATGCAGACACGCGTGCCTGGTATCTCATTCCCCCTATTGCTCACACTTCACTTTCCCCTCCTCAGTCCCAGAGGCCGGACCTCCCCAGCTTGATGTCATCCTTTGGGTGGAAGGGAGGAAGGCAGGTGAGAGGGGCTCTCTCTGGAGGCTCCTGGTTTCTGAGACAGGCTAATTACAGGCTTCCTAATTAATGAGCCATGGGGTTGCATTTCATCCGCTGAGTCAGAGCTGGTGTCTGGGCCCTGGGCCCAAGGGAAGGGTATCAAGAATCATGGGAGGGGGAGGCCAGCCTGTGCCTCTGTCTCCCCATGCTGATTCCCTGTCCCCTCCCTTTTCAAGCCCAGTTCTCTCCAGCAGTTTAGAGGACATTGTAGGCCTCAGCCCAGCTTTGCTCCCAACTCCCGCCTCTGCTTACTGACCTTCCTGGGCCTGTTCCACTGTCTGCCCTTCACACCTTCCCACTCCACCAGGACCACGCAGGCCTCCTTTGGTTACCGACTCTCACAAGGTTTTCCAACACCCAGTTTAGTTTCTCTTTCAAATTGGATCTTCTTTGGCCACGTGTATCCCACACTGGGGGCTCTGGAGAGAGGCAGTGCACTTCGGTAGGATCCTAATACCCAGAGCCCTGGGTCGTAGATAGGGCCGTTCTTGAGCCCGTCTGTGCGTCCTCCTCCCCACACCCTTCTCTCCCAGGAACTGCACACGACGAGTACTTTTCCATTCACATTTCAACCAGGAGATTCATCTATTTACATGAGACTAACTCCGCTGAGCCTTTATGGGGGAAGCATCTTTTATTTTTGTGCCTAGAGGTGTAATACTGAATTTCAAAGGCTGTGCTGGAGCCTGGTCATGAGGTTGTTATTCCATAATTAGACTCTGTTGTGCCTCTGGTTCTGGATTGCACAGTGGATTTGAAATCAAGTGAAGACATTTCTGTAGGTCGTGTAGGCAATCAGAGGGGCTCTTTGTGGTCTGAGCCTCTGTTTCATCCTAACTCCAAGTGGGGATTAAATAAGATAATACATAGGCATTTAGTGCAATGCCTAGGACATTGTTTATTCAATATATAAACTTTTATTAAAGCTTTTGAATGCAAAGGTTTTTAACATGCATGGATGGCCTTCAAGGTCTCCATAATCTCCTTGATAAAATCATGCATGTGTAAAGCACTTGCTTCTGGGCCCATAGGCTGGACACAGCTGGCCCCTCCACAGAGGGTGACATGGCTCCTCAGCCCTGCAAAGATTGGCTCTGGGTGCCCAGGCTGCCTGCTGGTGGGGCTGGAATTCTTTTCATATTTTTTCAGGGGATCTTTGGACTAGAATCCTAGATGTAGGATGGCTGGGTAGAAGGGTACATGCATACGTGACTCAGCCAGATATTGCCACATTCCCCGCCAAAGATTGTACCCTTTGTATTCTGAGCATTAGTATATGACAGCTCCTGTTTACCTGAAGTCTCACCTACAGATTGTGACCAAACATGGAGATTTTTGCCAATCTGCTAAGCAAGAAGTAGTTTTTCATGGTCCTCTTTATTTCATCATATTATGAGTGAGGCTGAACATTGTTTACATGTTTAAAAGCCATTTGTATTTCTTTGTGAATCTGTTATTTTTAGAAGCTATATGTTATGGGTATTAACCATTTAATACAGGTTGCAAATATATTTTCCAAGCTTGTAATTTTCGTTTTTACTTGCTAATGAATTTTGCCATGTAAGAGGGTTTTTGGTTTGTTTTGAGACAGGGTCTCCCTCTGTCGCACAGGTAGAGACAGGGTTTCATCATGTTGCCAGGCTGGTCTCAAACTCCTGACCTCAGGTGATCCGCCCACCTTGGCCTCCCAAAGTGCTGGGATTACAGTGGCTCGATCTCGGCTCACTGCAACCTCTGCTTCCCAAGCTCAAGTGATTCTCTTGCCTTGGCCTTCTGAGTAGCTGGGACTACAGGCATGCACCACCATGCCTGGCTAATTTTTGTATTTTTTTTAGAGACAGGGTCTCCCTGTGTTGCCCAGGCTGGTCTCAAACTCCTGGGCTCAAATGATTCTCCCTCCTTGGCCTCCCAAAGAGTTGGAAGTACAGGCGTGAGCCACCACGCCCGGCTGTTTTTTTTGTTTGTTCTATTTTGTTTCTTAAGGTAGTCAAATCTATCAGTCTTTTTCCTTACTGAATCTGAATTTTTTTGTTTGTTTGTTTTAGATGGAGTTTTGCTCTGTCGCCCAGGCTGGAGTACAGTGGTGCCATCTCGGCTCCCTGCAACCTCTGCCTCCTGGGTTCAAGTGATTCTCCCACGTCAGCCTCCTGAGTAGCTGGGATTACAGGCACCCGCCACGACGCCGGCTAATTTTTGTATTTTTAGTAGAGACGGGGTTTCACCATGTTGGCCAAGGTGGTCTCTAACTCCTGACCTCAGGTGATCCGCCCACCTTGGCCACCCAAAGTGCTGGGATTACAGGCGTGAGCCACCGCATCTGGCCTGGATTTTGAATTAGGACAGTTTTCCTCACTCCCAGGTTGCGAAGGAGTTCTCTCGTTTTCCATTTATCTCTAGTTCTTCCATGGTTTCATTCGCCCAGTGACTGCAGCGCCACCTGTGGAAAGGTCAGTTTTCCACCATTCCTGCCTTGCAGTACACAAAATTTCCATGTGTAGTTGGGCCTGCCTATGGGTTTTTCATTCTGTTCTGTTCATCTGCCTGTGTATTCGTGGGTTAGTTCTCCCCACCCACAAACCAAACTGTTCTTTTTCAGAGTTTTCCTGGCTACCTTGACTTATTCTTACAAATGAGCTTTATTTTTATTTTTTTTTGAGATGGAGTTTTGCTCTTGTTGCCCAGGCTGGAGTGCAGTGGTGCGATCCTGGCTAGTGAGATCACTTGAACCTCTGCCTCCCGGGTTCAAGCGATTCTCCTGCCTCAGCCTCCTGAGTAGCTGGGATTACAGACGTGCGCCACCACACCCGGCTAATTTTTTGTCTTTTTAGTAGAGACAGGGTTTCACCATGTTGGCCAGGTCTCAAACTCTCGACCTCAGGTGATCCACCTACCTCGGCCTCCCAAAGTGCTGGGATTACAGGCATAAACCACCGTGCCCGGCCTACAAATGAGCTTTACAAGAAGAGTATCTAACGACAAAGGCAAATGTCCATGAGATAGTGTTAGAAATAGCAGGCAACAGACCCACACACTATATACCTAGAAATATTTTTTTCTTTACAGAAAAACATTGAAAGGGAAAACATCAAGATGTTTGTGTGGTGCTCACTTGATAGCCGGGTTAAGGGTAGCGTTATCCTATTATTGGTGAAAACCCGGAGGGAATAAACTTGACCCTCCCAAGTCTTCCTCCTTTGTCCTCACCTTAGTCCTGTGCCACTCTGGAGATCTTGTCACCCCTCTTGGCACAGACAGAGCCATTTCAGGCACCTCTCTGCAAGGGAGGGAGTGCATTACAGCCAGGTGGAGCCTGGGTGCACCGCTTCTGCCCAGCGGGGGAGGAAGGCAGGTGGGGTTCAAGCCTGTCTGATTTTGTACACCATTGTTTTGCTCTCCTGCCCCCATGGGGGGGGGGGCTTTCCTCCTCTCCCAGGTGACAGTTCATAAGAGGGAAGGGCGACAAGCTCTTATTTTGGCCCAGCACTGTCCAGGAGAACTTTCGGTGATGGTGGAAATGGTCTCTATCTGTGCTGTCCAATATAGGACCCACCTGTGCTGATCATAACTCCCAAAACAGGATCCCCATCACCATAATCCTAAATGTTGAAATCCTGAAAGATCAAAATCCCTGAAGTCTGAAATCCTAAAAATCACAATCTCAAAAGTCCAAATTTAAGAAGACTTAATTGTACCTAATTTCAAATCTGTCACTTATGGTTTGGGGATTCAATTAGACATCAGGGATTTTAGACTTCAGGGATTTTGATCTTTAGGGATTTCAACATTCGGTGTTATGGCCTTTGGGACTGTGTCTTTTGGGATTATGGCCGAAACCCAGTAGCCACTAACCCCATGTGACTATCAAGCACTTTAAATGTAGGTGGTGTGAGTAATGAACCGAGTTTAAAAATTCATTTACTTTTAATTAAATAGCCACTGTGGCTAGTGGCTACTCTACTGGACAGTGCGGTTTTCACTAATTCACAACCCAGCCCTGCCCCTTCCAATCCAGAACTGGAAGGAAAGAGCCTGCACTGGCAAACACGCTGAGCAGCCAGGTGAGGTGACAGCAGGCCTAGCCGGGGGGGGCCAGCTCTGAAGCCAGGACCTGCTCAACGAAGGCCCACAGGAGTCCTGGGGGAGAAATCAGCCTGAAGCAGCTTCCCACCCCAGTGGCCATCACAATGGCAGCCAGCCCAGCCTCACAATGTCACAATACCACAGGCAGGAGGCCGGGCAGGCAAAGTGGTTTCCTCCAGGGCAGGACTCTTTGTCTGCAGACCTACTTACAGCCACCGAGCGTCAGAAGGCCCATCTCCTGGGGAATGGAAAAGTGCCCAGCCGCTGGGAGGCCTCAAGCTGGAGAGCTACGGGGGAAGCAGGGCAGGTGTGGGGCTGGGAGAAGCTACTAAGCCCCACACCCCAGGTGCTCTGGGGCCTCGCAGCCCAGCTGCAGGGAGATGGAACACTGTGAGCAGCTGTTCTTCTTCCTGGCCATTTGGTTCATCTACTTCTTTTCTGATGCCAACCTCTCTTCCACCTACTCAGGGGCTGGAAGGGCGACTGGAGAGCCAAGCCCCTGCGAGTGAGGACAGAGAATGGCCAAAGGCAGAGCCACAGGGTAGACCTTTGCACCTTGGGAGGAGAGATTTGGAGAATGGTGCTGCCTGGGCCCCTTTGCCCCCACCAAACCGCAGGGGTACCATGGCCCTGACCTGCGTTCAGAGGGCCGAGTCAATGTCACAGGAAGGGGAAGAGACATGTGCCCACAGACCCTGTGGTCATGGAGGGGGTGGAAGATCTCTGGAGGGCAGCAGGGCCACAGCAAGGCTCTGAGGTCCTGAGTCTTCTCCGTCCGTGGACTTAAACTCTGCGTGTTTACAGCTGTTCTGTGCCTGGGTCCAGGCTCTAGTGAGAAATAAACTGCCTTCAGAGCCAGGTGACAGCAAAAGAAATTTTATTCCCATTTTCTAGGGGACAGAAACAGAGCCCAGTGGTGCCTAGCATGTTTCTGGCAAGGGTAGTGAAAAGACCACTTCCTTTTGGGGGAAGTCTTTCAATTAAGAAAAACACACGCAACTCCTGGGGGTGGCTCCACCTGTACCCAGGACAGGGCCTGCCACTCCAGGGGCTCCCAGGCTGGATTTTCCACCAGAGCAGTCTTGGGGGCAGGAGCCTGTTAGAAATGCAGATCCCCAGGGACCTGCAGCGGTCTGGGCAGTACCTCCAACACAGCTGCTTAAGGGGAGGCAGTCCGGCCCTCATCTGGGAGCGCCGTGCTGACGCTGACTGCACGCTAGGGCTCTCGGGGTTGGGTGGACAGGGTTTCTCCGAGAGATGGGCTCCCAGCAGCCAGAGCACACTGTGGGTGTCAAGCTGCTGGTGGGAAGCAGGCTGTTCCCTGAGACCATGACAGGGTGAAGGTGGGAATCACCAGCCCCCACACTCACCAAGAAATGCTTTTGCTACATGCTGGGGCTTTTTTCTTTTTTTGAGAGGGAGTCTCACTCCGTCGCCCAGGCTGGAGTACAGTGGTGAGATCTCGGCTCACTGCAACCTCTGCCTCCCCGGTTCAAGCGATTCTCATGCCTCAGCCTCCTGAGTAGCTGGCATTACAGGCACACACCACCATGCCCAGCTAATTTTTGTATTTTTAGTAGAGATGGGGTTTTGCCATGTTGGCCAGGCTGGTCTCGAACTCTTGACCTCAAGTGATCCACCCACCTTGGCCTCCCAAAGTGCTGGGATAATAGGCATGAGCCACCATGCCCGGCCATGCTGGGGCTTTTCTAAGAACACAAGCACACCGGAGGGTAAGACAAGATTCTGGAGAGGCACAGACCCAGAAAGCCAGGGGCACACAGGAGCCTCGCCAGCGAGGGCGGCACAGGCCATCCATGCGGACCCTCAAATCTCATGTGAAGGCTGCATCAAGGTCAGTGCCAAGAGGAAGCAGAGCAAAGCATGTGACCACCTCTCTGAAGCCATCTTTGTGGACAAATGATGTAGGAACTCAAAAAAATGCAGGCTTGGCTAGGCGAAGTGGCTCATGCCTGCAATCCAAGCACTTTGGGAGGATCGCTTGAGCCCAGGAGTTTGAGACCAGTCTGGACAACATAGCAAGACCTTGTCTCTACAAAAAATAAAAAAATT
Source organism: Homo sapiens (assembly GCF_000001405.40). Lineage (NCBI taxonomy): Eukaryota > Metazoa > Chordata > Mammalia > Primates > Hominidae > Homo > Homo sapiens. Next base: position 3,108,786 of record NC_000020.11, read on the forward strand.
AGCTGGGCATGGTGGCACATGCCTATAGTTCCTGCTACCTGGGAGGCTGAGGTAGAAGGATCCCTTAAGCCCAGGAGTTCGAGGCTGCAATGAGTTATGATTGCACCACTGCCCTCAAGCTTGGGCAACAGAGACCAACCCTGTCTCAATTAAAAAAAAAAAAAAAAAAGCAACTAACCCCAAACCCAGATCTCTAAAGTATTGGGTGTGGACTAGAGCTCTGGACGGCCTAAAGGAAAGGAATGTGCCGGTTCACAGGGACCCGCGGCTAAGCTCAAGGGTAAAATACAGCTTTACAAAGCATCTTTAGGCTGTTCCTTCCCAAACGTGCTTAGAAGGGAACAGGGAAAGGCGGGTGTGTTTTCTCACTGAGGTTCTTCTAGTGGCTGGAATCTGATAGAGTACCAAGTTGTAGGGATATGGATATATTTTCCCTTTGGCACTCCATAAAGCTAAATGTTGGGCTGAAAAAAGGATGCAGCCTATAAACAAGTATTTTTCCTGAAACCAACTGCATGAGGAAACGCTGCGCTCCCCCTCAGGGAGCAGTTTCTGAAGCCAGCTGAGCACAGCTGGCACTGGCCAGAGGGAGCCCTCCACCCTCCCACCACGTATGCCCACCTGCAAACCTGGGTTCTGAGTCCCCATGCAGGGGACAGACCTGAAAATTCCAGTTTGTGTCCTTTCAGGTCATCGACAGGAATGACAGCCTGGCAAGCTGCAGTGACTGCACACAGCTACCCTGTGAGCTCCACTTGTGTGGGTGCAGGTGGGCGACAGGAGTGTGTGACACAGACAGGCACTCCACCAGGAGGAAACCCACAGCAGACGTCAACCATCGCTTTATTAAGGCTGCGAGTCGGGGGGCTGAGTCATGCACTCCACAGACACCCCCACTGCTCCCAAGGTCCACTTTTGGATGACCCTGAAGGCAGAGACTCCTGAGATCTGGGCCACAATCTAGGGTGAGCCACCCACAGTGCCCTGCTGGACAGGGGGGTATGCGGACTGCACGGGGGGGCCCTCAGCAGGGGTCTTCCTGCCTAGGGTGGGGCTGGCTCCAGTGGGTCCTGGGCTCAGGCAGGGGGGGTGGCAGGGAGGCAGGGACATCCCCCCGCCCTCTGGCCTATGGCTTTGTTGCCCTATTGCCACCAGCGCAGAAGCAATGTGCTATACCGTGAGGTGATGAAGAAGAGCCCCGGGAGGGAGCAGGCAGCTCTGTGCCTGGGGCCTGGCCAGACCTCAGGGGTGCTGTGGCCCTGCTCCTGTTCCCCCTCAGCTCCTCCCAGCAATGGGTCTCCTCCAGTGGAGGTCAGTCACTCAGAAGTGGACCCGCAGCACGTCTTGGCTAGCAACCGGCCGCTGGCAGGCTGTGCACGTCATGGGCAGGGAGCGTTGCTTCTCACCCAGGCAGGGTCGGCACAGGAGGTGGCCGCAGGGCAGCTGGTACACCGGCTCCTTTTTGAAGTAGGGAGAAAATACTCTTTTGCAGGAGGCACATTCGGGGCCCAGGATGCTCCCAGGCTGCTCTGGTAAATCAGGAAGGAAAACAGGCCAGGGTTAGGAAAGCTGCTCCATGGTCCAGGCTGCTCTGAGGGGCAGAGCCTTCCCACCGTGCTGCTGCAGCATCTGGCTTCATCCCTCCCGAGTCCATCCCAGTCTGATCAGGTAGGGGAGTGGAAGCGGGAGAGGGAGCCTGGGAACCCGGGAGGCCTCTTCTCTATCATCTTTGACCAAATCTCAGTGCCTCTACGAATGCTTGAGAAGAGCTGGCTTCTGAGGGCAGCAGGCAGGACTGGGCCCTTCCTCCTGGTCTCCCAGCAAGGTTTACTTTCCCCTGCGATAGGTGGCCAAGGCTGGAGCAAGGCACAGCTCACTCTGACAAGATAAACTGCAAGAAATGTGAGAGGCGACAAGAGAAGGAAAAGGCAGGTCAGTGGGGTGGCTCAAGCCTGTAATCCCAGCATTTTGGGAGGTTGAGACAGGAGGATCACTTGAAGCCAGGAGTTCGAGACCAGCCTGGGCAACATAGTGAGATACTGTCTCTACAAAAAAGAAAAAAAAAAAAAAAGGAAAAGCAGCACATGGTCCAGTGCACCAAGGTTGGGGAAGTGTGAGAAGGGAGGTCAGCAGAGACAAGGCTGAGGCCTGCAGTGCACCTGCCACTGGGGCCTAGCTCCTGCTCCCTTCAGCCCTGCAGCCTGCAGCCCCCTCACTGCTACTGGCAGCCCTGCTCCTGACTCCTCAGTCCCCCTCCTGTGCTGCCCTGGCCCTCTCGGCAGGCTCTCCCTTCTTCCGCAACTCCTTCAGGGCATCCTTGAATGAGGGTCACAGTGAGCAGCTCTGGCCATGCCCCACCAGGCTGCACCCACGGCTCTTCCTTTCCTCATGGCCCCTCTGGAGAGTGACAGGGGATGGGCTTGCCTGTCCTCCTTGTGGTCCATGTCTCCATTCCTAGCCACTACTCTCTGGAGGACCCCAAAGGAACCTCAAACCAATTTGCTTCAGAATTGTTTCTTAACCCCCCTTCTCTCTGTCCATTTCATCACCATAATCCAGGCCGCTCGACACATCTCTTCCTAACTATTCACCTGCTCCAGGCTTGTCTTCTCAATCTGTCCTCAAAGCTGCCTCCAATGACCCACCTATGTAACTTGACCACCCCATAACTCTGCTTTCTACCTCTTAGGAGCTTCCCAACTTTCGGGACAGTCAAGACTCCCTGCACGGCCCACCCAGCCTCCTCACCTCTCTTCACACCAGTCTCAACTTTTAGAGTCCAGCAGCTTCCAATCACTTCTTTGCACACTCTGCGCTGCTGGCCTCCTCACTTTGTGCTTGCTGTTCCCTCTGCCTAGAATGCCCTTATCTGGAGACCTGGCTTAGACCACACCCATTCCATGACGCCACCCCGGATTGCCCCTTTCCTGTGCTTTCAGAGCCCACCAGCCCTTCTCAGCCTCCAAGGTAGGATGCCTACTTCCTCCCCAGGCTTTGCAGGTCCTGAGGGTCAGGACTATGTCCATGTTTCTCATCCGGCCTCAGGACCTGGCGCAGCACCTCACAGGGCAAGTGCTCCATCCACATGTGATGAATGGACCTGCCATCTACACTCGGGCACCAGGCACCAAAGAAGGGAGGGCAGGGGTGCCCTACACGGGGAGCAGGAACTGAAGTGTTCCTGCCTCCGCATCCCTGAGAACTGTAGCCAGGAAAGAGTGGCCTGGCTGCGGGTGTTTTCTTTGGGCCAAACATTAAGCAACATAAAAGTACCGGGTGCCTCTCCTGTGCACACAAGCCAAAAATTCCCCAGTGAGTGGAAAGTTGAACCTCTACAGGGAAGGGAAGGAGGGAGGAATGAAGGTGGGGAGGGAGGGGGGAAAGAAGGGAGGGGAGGAAGCAGGAGGAAAGAGCCACTGACTGCTTTTCAGTGGTGCCCCTTTCATGCAGGCTCTGCCAGAGGCTTCAGAGATCTGCCTGACCCACAGTGCATGATGAGAATTTATTTTCCATCAGTTTTAAAAAGCACACCTGGCACAACACCACAGAAGCATGCAAGGGCCCCAATTGCCCCCAGCACTGACCAGAAGTCCCATTAAAAGATCTCAGAGGCCCAGAGCCCCAGGGGCAGTTTCAGTGACAGAAAAAAAAAAAAAAAAATCATCAAGGAAAAGACAATTATTGTGCCCTGGGCAGGATGGAAACCCAAGTATATAACTGCAAACTGAGGTGACAGAGAGGATAAAAAAGAGGGCTTGCTTTGAAAAGGGTGGGCTAACATGGCCTCCTGTAGGAAGAGCTGTGAGAATAAAAAGGGGCCAGCCACACAGAATGAAAGGAGAGCAAGCACAAAGAACAGCCTATCCGTTAAAGAAAAAGACACAGTGGTCGGGCACGGTGGCTCACACCTGTAATCCCAGTGTAATCCCAGCACTCTGGGAGGCCGAGGTGGGTGGATCACCTGAGGTCAGGAGTTCGAGACCAGCCTGACCAACATAGCGAAACCCCGTTTCTAACTAAAAATACAAAAATTAGCCGGGCGTGGTGGCGGGCGCCTGTAGCCCCAGCTACTCAGAAGGCTGAGACAGGAGGATTGCTTGAACCAGGGAGAAAGAGGTTGCAGTGAGCCAGGATTGTGCCACTGCACTCCAGCCTGGGCGACAGAGCGAGACTCCATCTCAAAAAGAAAAGAAAAAGACACAGTGAAGCTGGGTGCAGAGGCTCACACCTGTAATCCCAGCACTTTGGGAAGCTGAGGCAGGTAGATCACCTGAGGTCAGGAGTTCGAGACCAGCCTGGCCAACATGGCGAAACGCTGTCTCTACTAAATATACAAAAAAAAAAAAAAAAAATTAGCTGGGCTTGGTGGCGTTTGCCTGTAATCCCAGCTACTAGTGGGGGCTGAGACAGGAAGATTGCTTGAACCCAGGAAGTGGAGGTTGCAGTGAGCCGAGATTGCGCCATTGTACTCTAGCCCGGGCAACAGAGCGAAACAGAGCAAGACTCTGTCTCAAAAAAAAAAAAAAAAAAAAGACACAGTGAGAGTGGGCTTCAGATAAGACTGCAGAGGAGGAGACATGGGGGCTCCAGCAGGCAGGACCTCAGAGGGAGTAGGAGTTGAGGTTTTATCCTAAGTTCAGGGGATGCCATGGTAGGATTTGAAGAAGTGGAGCATGGTGATGGGCTGACATGATAAAAAGATCCAACTGCTATGAGTATGATGAGCCACAGTAAGGCGAGGATGGGGGGATACCAGCAGGGGCTACTGCAGGAGTCTGGGAGTGAGGCAGTGGGAGCTGCAGCCAGGGGAGGGGCCACAGAAGGAGAGCAGGGGACTAACCTGAGGTCACCTTGGGGGAGGATGGACAGGACCTGATAATGAACAGAATGTCAGGATGGGGACACTGAAGGAACTCGAGAATGACTTCTGTGTTAGAAGCCTCACCACAAGACAGAAGATGCTGCCCTTACCCAGGTAGGATGATGGGGGCAGTGAGGGGGAAAAGCTCTGGAGGGCAGATGTGAGCAGTACAGAGTCTGAATGTTTCCTTTAGAGAGGATGCTGAGCCTGGCCATGATGGCTCATGCCTGTATTCCCAGCACTTTGGGAGGCCGAGGCAGATGGATCACCTGAGGTCAGGAGTTCAAAACCAGCCTGGCCAACATGGTGAAACCCCATCTCTACTAAAAATACAAAAATTAGCTGGGCGTGGTGGCGGGTGCCTGTAATCCCAGCTACTTGGGAGGCTGAGGCAGGAGAATCACTTGAACCTAGGAGGCGGAAGTTGCAGTGAGCTGAAATCGCGCCATCGCACTCCAGCTAGGGCAACAGGGGCAAGACTCCATCTTAAAAAAAGAAAAAAGAGAGAGGATGTTGAGTGCTGTCAGGGCGGCAGGATGAGTTCCAAGGAGAAGCAGGAGCTACAGGGGAACATGGACAGTTGCCGGAGATGTGAGTTTTCACTTGGGTAACAGAGAATATTGAGATTAGAGAGTCCAGGGCCAGAGCTGGTAGAGAAGGCAATTGGCAATGGAAACTGAAGAGGGACCACCGAAGATAGGAGAAAAGAAGCAAAACAGCCTAAAAGCCAAGAGAGAAGGCGTTTCGCACAGCAGGAGCTCCATCTCGTAAAAAATGCCTCCCGTTGCAATCAGTTTCTGTTGCTTTGTATCCTAATAGATTCTGGCATACAATGGGGGTCAAGGTTCATTTTAGGCAAAATTGGCCCATAAGCTGCCACTGCTCTTTCTAAGACACTGACGGAAGTGTTAATCTGAAGGGATGAGGACGACAAACCCAACCAAACCTCTCTTCACATTTACATAAAGTGCCCCGGATGTCAGACTGCAGACTGGCTAGATGAGAAAAAAATAACAAAAAAGGCCAGGCGCGGTGGCTCACTCCTGTAATCTCAGCGCTTTGCGAGGCCGAGGCGGGCGGATCACGAGGTCGGGAGTTCGAGACCAGCCTGGCAACATGGTGAAACCCCGTCTCTACTAAAAATACAAAAAATTAGCCGGGCATGGTGGCGGGCGCCTGTAATCCCAGCTACTCAGGAGGCTGAGGCAGGAGAATAGCTTGAATCCAGGAGGCGGAGGTTGCAGTGAGCTGAGACTGTGCCACTGCACTCCAGCCTGGGCAACAGGGCGAGATGCAGTCTCAAATAAATAAATAAATAACAAACAAAAAAAAGAGAAACAAAAATCCTCAGGAGAAAATAATTAACATTAGATCTCACAAGGAAACACATCAGAGGGTGGCCAAGCCCTACATCCACAGAATTACTAAGGATTGACTAAAGAAAGCCTTTCTTGTGGGGAGTTTAAGTTCATAGGCAGCCCCTCAACTACCCCTGGAAAAGGCAAGAGAACAGGTTCTCTCCCAGGGTGGGTGTTGGAACTGACGGGGAGGCTGGCCAGGCAGGTCCACAGAGCCCCCAGGGACTCGGCCCAGCATCCAGAGACAGAAAACAGACCACCCATTCCAAGGCTCCAAGGAGATGGCGGGGCCCATGTTACCCGAGCCGGTGCCAGGCCTCCAGGAAGTGTTGCTCCCTCTTGTGCCAAGGTGCTGGAGCTGTCCCCTGGTCAGCCGTGCCGTGAAGGAGGGCATAGAGCCAAGGGTGGATGCCAAGGCAATTTCCAAGCTTTGTGACAGCTTCTGCTCGTGGGACAGTGGACCTGTCGAGAGATGCGCACAGCACAACATCCAGAGACAGGCTCCGCAAAAGAGAACAGCCTCAAGTCCTTCGAGGGCTGTAAAAACGGCACCTCCAATCTCACACATCAATGTAATGAAACTCCATCCTAATGTCTACTGGCGGACCATGACAGAACACCGGGAGGTAAAGCCCTAGGAACACCGGCAGTTCCTGCCCATCCCACCGGCTTCAGGCTTTTCTCCTCCTGGAGAAACTGCTGGGCAGACATGAGCCACCTCGTGGCTCAACTGCAGAACTGCACGCTCCTTTTTTTTTTTTTTTTTTTTTTTGAGATGGAGCCTTGGTCTGTCGCCCAGGCTGAGAAGGAGTGCAGGGGTGCCATCTCAGCTCACTGCAACCTTCGCCTCCTGGATTCAAGCGATTCTCCTGTCTCAGCCTCCCAAGTAGCTGGGACTACAGGTGTGCGCCACCACGCCTGGCTAATTTTTTGTATTTTAGTAGAGACGGGGTTTCACCATGTTGGCTAGGAGATCTCCTGACCTCGTGATCCACCTGCCTCAGCCTCCCAAAGTGCCGGGATTACAGGCGTGAGCCACAGCGCCTGGCCTCCTTTCTAAAGGCCTCCTTGCTGGCCAAGAAAATAACTGGGGCAAGCAAACGCCAGCTTTGGACTGCTGCTCCCTGCCCCCCATTCCCTCCCCAGCGGCCTTAGTCTTCTCTTTCCCTAACTCCACCCTTCTGGGGACCCCACCACCCCCCAGAGGGGTTCATCTGCATTTTCTAGGTGTTCATGTCCTCTCTCTCCTGTTAAGTAAAACAAAGCAGTTTTTACCGAATAGAACTAAGACCCCACGTTGACCACGCCACAATTTAGGGGACCTTTAGTGTAGGATCAACAGAAAGCCAAGCCATGGAATGAGGGTGAAGGCCAAAGGGGTAGGGGGACAGCTGCCCAAGAAAGACCCCAGGGACCTGTGTGGCAGAAAAATTTGCAATGCTGTCTCAAAGAGGAGAATGGAAACTTTTGTCCACTGTTTGCAGGACACAGGACATCAGCTCAGGGCCTTGAAGGAGCCCTAGTCAGCGTGGTCCTGAGTCACCAAGTCTGTCAAGGCCAACAGGACTGAGACCTCCACAAACTGACGCTGAAGTCTAAGGACCTTTTTCCTTGTTCCACCCCACTGCGCCTCAGATGTTTCCAGGAGTTTCTGAAGGTCATGTTAACTAGAATTTACTCTTAAAACCAAAGACACAGAAATAAACGTTAAGCATAGTATTTGCATAGTCTTTTAGAAGAACATAGGAAACTAAAAGAATGATCAACCTAAACAGAATAATTTCCATAAGGAAAAAGAAAAGGTTGCCAGGCCAGGCACAGTGGCTCACACCTGTAATCCCAGCACTTTGGGAGGCTGAGACAGGCAGATCGCCTGAAGTCAGGAGTTCAAGACCAGCCTGGTCAACATGGCGAAATCCTGTCTCTACTGAAAATACAAAAATTAGCCAGGCGTAGTAGTGCGTGCCTGTAATCCCAGCTACTCGGGAAGCTGAGGCAGGAGATTCGCTTGAACTCAGGAGGCAGAGGTTGCAGTGAGCCATAATCACACTACTGCACTCCAGCCTGGGTGACAGAGCGAGACTCCATCTCAAAAAAAAAAAGGAAACGTGTCAAAGAGCTACCCTCCACAAGCACCAAGCACTGACAATCACAAGGACTTCTACTAGACAGGCAGAGTGGGTATTCCAATACTATTCAATTGTTCCACAGCACAGAAAAGAAAAAATTCTAAATTCTTTCTATGGAACAAAAAAATCATCAATGACACCTGACCAAAGATGGCACACACACACACACACACACACACACACACACACACACACTACAGTCCAACCCCACTAATGAATACAAAAATCCTAACACTAGCAAACAGAACCATTAAAATCTATTAACAGGGGCCAGGCGCTGTAGCTCATGCCTGTAATCCCAGAGTTTTGGGAGGCCAAGGCGGGTGGATTGCCTGAGCTCAGGAGTTTGTGACCAGCCTGGGCAACATGGTGAAACACCGTCTCTAATAAAATACGAAAAATTAGCCGGGTGTGGCGGCATGTGCCTGTAGTCCCAGCTACTCAGGAGGCAGAAGCAGGAGAATTGCTAGAATCCAGGAGGCAGAGGTTGCAGTGAGCCAAGATCGCACAAGTGCACTCCAGCCCGGGCGACAGAGCGAGACTCCGTCACTATATAGATAAATAAATAAATAACAGGGCTGGGCGTGGTGGCTCACACTTGTAATCCCAGCACTTTGGGAGGCTGAGGCAGGCAGATCACCTGAGGTCAGGAGTTCAAGACCAGCCTGGCCAACATGGCGAAACCCCATCTCTACTACAAATACAAAAATTAGCCAGGCATGGTGGCGAGCGCCTGTAATCTCAGCTAATCAGGAGGCTGAGGCAGGAAAATCACTTGAATCCGGGAGGCGGAGGTTGCAGTGAGCAGAGATTGCGACACTGCACTCCAGCCAGGGCGACAGAATGAGACTCTGTCTCAAAAAATAAAAATAAAAATAAAAAAAATTAGCCAGTATGGTGCTGTGCGCCTGTAGTCTTGGCTACCGAGGCAGGAGAATCACTTAAATCCCAGCAGCAGAGGTCGCAGTGAGCAGAGATTGCGTCACTGCTGCACTCCAGCCTGGGCGACAGAGGGAGACTGTTTCCAAAAAAACAAAACAAAAAGAAACCATTAACAGGCCGGGCACTATCGCTCATGCCTGTAATCCCAGCACTTTGGGAGGCTGAGGCAGGTAGATAACCTGAGGTCAGGAGTTCAAGATCAGCTTGGCCAACATGACAAAACCCAGTCTATACTAAAAATACAAAAATTAGCTGGGCACGGTTGTGGGCACCTGTAATCCCAACTACTCTGGAGGCTGAGGCAGGAGAATTGCTTAGACCAGGAGGCAGAGGTTGCAGTGAGCCAAGATTGTGCTATTGCACTCCAGCCTGGGTGACAGAGTGAGACTCTGCCTCATAAAAATACAAAAATCAGCCAGGTGTAGTGGCTCACACCTGTAATCCCAGCACTTTGGGAGGCCGAGGTGGGTGGATCATGAGGTCAGGAGATCAAGACCATCCTGGCTAACACAGTGAAACCCCGTCTCTACTAAAAGTATTAAAAAAATTAGCCAGGTGTGCTGGCGGGCGCCTGTAGTCCCAGCTACTCAGGAGGCTGAGGCAGGAGAATGGCGTGAACCAGGGAGGCGGAGCTGGCAGTGAGCCAAGATCGCGCCACTGCACTCCAGCCTGGGCGACAGAGCGAGACTCCGTCTCAAAAAAAAAGAAAAAAAATCAGCCAGGCGTGTTGGCACGCACCTATAGTCCCAGCTATTCCAGAGGCTGAGGCATGAGAATTGCTTGAACCCGGGAGGCAGAGATTGAAGTGAGCCGAGATCACACCACTGCACTCTACCCTGAGTGACACAGTGAGACTCCATCTCAAAAAAAAAGGAAGGAAGGAAGGAATTATTTAGGTTGAATTACACAGAAGTTTGTCACTGATCTGTGTTCTCGAACTAAGAAATATGAAGATGGAGGCTAAGAAATCATTTCTCTTAATATTATAAATAAGCAATTAACAAATACCTTGGGAAAAATAAGAATACAATAGAAGTGAGGAGTGTGACTTTCAAGATTACATTCTAAAAGATGGATTTCCCTCGTCTGTGCACTCTCTCTGGAACGCACAGCTCCCACACAGTACACTGCCCTATGGAGAGGCCCACAAGGCAAGGAACCGAGGGCAGCCTTGGGCCAACAGCCAACCAGCAAGTGAGGCCTCAGTCCAACAATGCATCAACGAGCTGAATCTTGCAACAATGATGTGGGTGAGACTAGAAGTAAATGCTTCCCCAGTTGATCCTTGAGATGACCACAGCCTCAGCCACCAGTTTGATGGCAGACTTGGAAGACCCTGAAGCAGAGAATCCAGCCAAGTTACGCTGGGATTTGTGATCCACAGAAGTTATGAGACAATGAATGTTTGTTGCTGTAAGCCAGTAAGTTTTGGGGTAATTTGTTACCTAGCAATAGATAACCAATACTTCTTTAACATGATAAAAACATCTATCTCAGGCCAGGCGCGGTGGCTTATACCTGTAATCCTAGCACTCTGGGAGGCTGAGGTGGGCGAATCACCTGAGGTCAGGAGTTCGAGACCAACCTGGCCAACATGGTGAAAACCTGTCTTTACTAAAAATACAAAAAATTAGCCGGTGTGGTGGTACATGCCTGTAATCCCAGCTACTTGGGAGGCTGAGGCAGGAGAATTGCTTGAAGCTGCGAGGCGGAGGCTGCAGTGAGACGAGATTGCGCCATTGCACTCCAGCCTGGGTAACAGAGTGAGGCTCCATCTCAACAACAACAAAAAAACATCTATCTCAGCCTAAGATCCAACATCCAGCTTGCCCTGAGGTATTCACACTGAACACATTCAGCTGCAGAGGTCACCCAGTGAACCAGGGCTGCTCACCTCAGGAGAGAGCAGCATCACCGGCCCTAGAAATCACTGGCAATGCCCCAGGGAAGAGGCAGGAAGCCAGGATCCTTAAATCTCATACTCAAGAATGTTGCAGGCCAGGCACAGTGGCTTGCAGATCCCAGCACTTTAGGAAGCCGAGGCAGGTGGATCACGAGGTTAACAGGTTGAGACCATCCCGGGCACCATGGTGAAACCCCTTCTCTACTAAAAATACAAAAATTAGCTGGGCGTGGTGGCGCGCGTCTGTAATCCCAGCTACTCCAGAGGCTGAGGCAGGAGAATCACTTGAACCTGGGAGGCGGAGGTTGCAGTGAGCCAATATCACGCCACTGCACTCCAGCCTGGTGACAGAGCGAGACTCCATCTCAAAAAAAAAAAAAAAAACAGAAGTCGAGTGCAGTGGCTTACATCTGTAATCCCGGCACTTTGGGAGGCCAAGGTGGGTGGATCACAAGGTCAGGAGATTGAGACCATCCTAGCTAACAAGGTGAAACCCCGTCTTTACTAAAAATACAAAAACTTAGCCAGGCGTGGTGGCGGGCGCCTAATCCCAGCTACTCGGGAGGCTGAGGCAGGAGAATGGTGTGAACCCGGAAGGCAGAGCTTGCAGTGAGCCGAGATCATGCCACCGCACTCCAGCCTGGGCGACACAGCGAGACTCCATCTCAAAAAAAAAAAAAAAAGATTGTTGCAATTTTACCTGGTGGATCCTGCCAAATGCAATAAAGAAGAAAAACAGAAAAAAACACAAAGAGAATATTGCAATTTGTCCACACATTTACTGAGTGCACCCTCTTCAGTGTGGCTTTTCTCTTCAGTAACCCTCTCCTGAAAGGAAGGCCCACAGACCTAGTCCTTTTTCCTTTTCTGTGTCCTCATGCCACATGGTGAGGGGGGCGCACAGAGAACCTCCATGCAATATATCCTTGTACCTCTGTGACGGTTAGAAATAACACCCAGAGGAGCCCACTGTCACATGAGTAACACAAAGAAGGCACCAGAAGAGATTCTCTGCTTTGAGGGACTGGTATCTTTCCTCCCAGCAGCTCTGACCAGAGGCTTCAAGCCCAGGAAAAAGTGTTGACCAGGCCAGGGCACATAAAGGGACCCCAAGGAAGGCAACAGTGCCCATGGGACCATCACCAACAGAGGAGCGAAACACGCAGACTGAAGCCTCGGAACAGATGAGAATAGACGAGAACACATGGAACCCCTCCAAGGCTCCAGGTTGTCCCTGGTCTGAAGACAAAGCTGAGGGGCCCCAGGATGGGAAACGGGAAGGAGGCAGCACAGGCACAGCCTCGGGAATGTAAGCTGGCCAAGCACAAAGCAAAGGGCAGCAGAGCTGAGAGCTCCTGGGAAGGAGATGGATGAGCCTGGCTGCGGACACAGGATGCTGAATTACCTGTCGAGCAGTCCATATGTGTCAGGCTGGGCTCATTGGTGGCTTTCATTTTCTTAGCAGTGTGCTCTGAGGTAGTGGGTAAGACCAAAGGGCTTGTGGCAGAAAAACAGGAAGCATTTACACCAAAGTTACTGTCTGGGACATGTTCAGCCTGCTCTATCTTCCTTTTCTGAGAGGGCAGAACAATGGAAGAAGGGATCACTGCCAATGCCGTCTGTGCTCTCCCAAGCAGGTGGCAGCCAGGGATGGAGTGCTGGAGCAGGAAATGGTCAATCCGGGCCTTGAGGGAGGGGTGAGGCAGGGGCTGAGAGTGCGGAGTAAAAGCTACCCCCGTGAAAGGGTCACTGGGCACTCGGCCCCATGTGGCTTCACTGCGGTTACACTTCTCCAGTGTGCTCTGGTCGATGACCTTGCCTGAGGGCAGCAGCATGGGACAAGGCATGATCTCCAGGGTGATGGGATCCAGGAACTCCTCAGGCACATCCTGAATGATCTCGGCCAGCTTCTGCAGGCTGGAGGGAGCCTGCTGGCTCTCAGGCTGGTCCCCAGGGTCACAGTCACTTTCCATGGGCAAGGCTGGAGCCTGCAGAGCCACATCCTGAGGCAGGTTCTCTGAGGTGACCAGCAGGATGCTGTCTATCACTTCCTGGGAGCAGGTCTTGGCCGGCTGACCCCACACTTCCAACCGCTTGATACAAGGGATACCGCCGCCTGTCACATGGGTGATACAGATCCTTAAGTGGGCCACGTGGCTAAGGGAAAGAGCCCCTTTATTCCAGAGCTCCTGGGCCACAACAGCAGGGGAGGGGAGTGTGGCTTCCATCGCGCCAAAAGGGGGCCTGGCCTTGAAGCCCCTGTGGCTAAACACCACTTGGCTCTGGTTTTTCAGTAAGACTTTGCCTACCAAGGTGAACGCCTCCTTGTCTGGGACAGATGGCTCAGCTGGGCCCAGGGTCCGGCACTGGGGCGTATTCCAAGACACTCTGCTAGATGAGGCAGATGTGTACATTTCCAGGCCAGTGACGTTCTGACCTCCCCCAGCTGTGAGGTCTATGTTGATCCTACAGATTTCCACATTAAAGGGAAATGAAACTGTCACATAGACTGGTGGCTTAATGAAATACTCTGTCCTGAAACCATGACTTCTCTTTGTGAGATCTTCAGAGATGAGATTTTCTACTTCGTAACCATCAGCTGATATCTAGATTTAATAAAAAACACAAGATACAATGATCCAAATGAAGACAACTTGTCACTTGTAAGAAAACTCTTAAGCCTGAGGTTCCTCGTTTTAAAATTTCCTCTATTAAACTGAATTGTCCCAGATCAGGGCACCCAAGATCAGATCAAAGGCCAAGGGCAATTGTCCCAGATCGGGGCCCCCAAGTATTGCCCAACCTTAAAAATATGAGCAACTGAGCTGGGCATGTTGGTACACACCTGTAGTCCCAGCTACTCAGGAGGCTGAGGCAGGAGGATCCCATTAGCCCAGGAGTTAGATAGGCCTGGGCAACATAGCAAGACCCCATATCCCTTTTCCCTGCCAAAAAAAAAAGCAAGCAACAAAATCCTGCCCAATCCAACCAAAACTCCCTTCAAAACAGTATCTGGGGAGAGAAGTGCAGGGGAGAGAAAGTATTTCTACCTTTGCTATGACTTTGACGAGACTGGAGATTGATCATCAAAGAACAAAGAGCACAGTGAAGAGGACCCTGCACAAAATGAGTCACAGCTCACCTCACCATGGCGCTGTGTGATTCTAGAGGTGAGCCTGCCCCATGCTTACCTAAATACCATCTGATGGAATCTAAAGTAACAAGAGCAAAAGTGCAGTAAGCCTGAATCAAATCCACACACACAAGGCAGGAAATGATGAAACACATGACAAACATAGCATATATTTATGTGTATATATTTGTTTTGTTTACCTTGTTGCAGTGAATTCTTGGTCTGAACTGTGGGAGGCAAAGATTTATTACCATCTTTGTGGCTGAGAGGATATCTTCCAAGCATCAGAAGCAGCCTTAAATAAGAAATAAAACTATGTATTAGAAAATGTAAAATTCAATTCTAAACTTTCAGAAGTTGATTCTTAAGAGAATCAAACAGGATGGCAACAAAAACTTGAACACACACACTCTCACGGTCCACACTGACTTTCCTTATATCCTATACATGATGTTGGGGAAAAATTAGTCACTGAAAAATTATAGAGAAGACTTCTATGGCAGGCTCAACAGGTTGGCAAAGACTGCCAGTTCTCTGGCCAACAGCTGTTCCAAAGACCCAATGGAGGCAAGGCCCATCAGCTGTGCTGGGGGTTGCCACAGGAAGGGAGTGGCAAAAGTATCTGAGCTCAGAGAAAGGACAGAGTGTTCGGAATGGAAAGGGTCATAAAAAATAATTATAGTGGTGGTAAGCATCCTTGTCATTTAATACTTGTCAATGCAATTATGTTTTCTTATTAAAATGAAAACAATGAGTCAAAAACATCATTATTGAGACATAGAAAATTTATTAGAGGCCAGGTGTGGTGGCTCATGCCTGTAATCCCAACAATTTGGGAGGCTGAGGTGGTAGGACTGCTTGAGCCCAGAAGTTCAAGACCAGCCTGGGAAACATAGCTGGTCTTGTTGTAGAGACCCCATCTCTACAACAAAACGTTGTAGGGATCTTGCTATGTCTGATATGCACCTGTAGTCACAACTATTTGGGAGGCTGAGGTGGATCACTTGAGCTCAGGAGTTCAAGGCTGCAGTGAGCTATGATCACACCACTGCATTCCAGCCTAGGTGACAGAGTGAGACCCTGTCTCAAAGGAAAAAAGAAAAGCCTCTCCCCTCTCCCCTCTCCCCTTTCTTCGGTCTCCCTCTGTTGCCGAGGCTGGACTGTACTGCCGTGATCTCAGCTCGCTGCAACCTCCCTGCCTCGGGCTCCCGTGATTCTCCTGCCTCGGCCTGCCGAGTGCCTGCCTTGAGTGATCTGCCCGCCTTGGCCTCCCGAGGTGCTGGGATTGCAGACGGAGTCTCGTTCACTCAATGCTCAATGTTGCCCAGGCTGGAGTGCAGTGGCGTGATCTCGGCTCGCTACAACCTCCACCTCCCAGCCGCCTGCCTTGACCTCCCAAAGTGCTAAGATTACAGCCTCTGCCCGGCCGCCACCCCATCTAGGAAGTGAGGAGCCTCTCTGCCTGGCCACCCATTGTCTGGGATGTGAGGAGAGCCTCTGCCCAGCTGCCCCATCTGGGATGTGAGGAGCACCTCTGCCCGGCCGCCCTGTCTGGGAGGTGAGGAGTGCCTCTGCCCGGCCGCCACCCTGTCTGGGATGTGAGGAGCGTCTCTGCCCGGCCGCCCTGTCTGGGAGGTGAGGAGCGCCTCTGCCCAGCCGCCACCCCGTCTGGGATGTGAGGAGCGTCTCTGCCTGGCTGCCCCATCTAGGAAGTGAGGAGCGCCTCTGCCTGGCTGCCCCTTCTGAGAAGTGAGGAGCGCCTCTGCCCAGCCGCCCCGTCTGGGAGGTGAGGAGTGCCTCTGCCTGGCCACCCATCATCTGGGAAGCGAGGAGCGCTGCTGCCCGGCCACCCCGTCTGGGAACTGAGGAGCGCCTCTGCCCGGCCGCCCCGTCTGAGAAGTGAGGAGCACCTCTGCCTGGCAGCCACCCCATCTGGTAAGTGAGGAGCATCTCTGCCTGGCCGCCCCATCTGGGAAGTGGGGAGTGCCTCTGCCCGGCCGCCCCGTCTGGAGGTGAGGAGCGCCTCTGCCTGGCAGCCACCCCATCTGGGAAGTGAGGAGCGCCACTGCCCGGCTGCACCATCTGAGAAGTGAGGAGTGCCTCTGCCTGGCAGCCACCCCATCTGGGAAGTGAGGAGTGCCTCTGCCCGGCTGCCCCGTCTGGGAGGTGAGGAGCGCCTCTGCCCAGCCGCCCATCATCTGGGAAGTGAGGAGCGCCTCTGCCCGGCTGCCCCGTCTGGGAGGTGAGGAGCGCCTCTGCCCAGCTGCCCCGTCTGGGAGGTGAGGAGCGCCTCTGCCCGGCCGCCCATCATCTGGGAAGTGAGGAGCGCCTCTGCCCGGCCGCCCCGTCTGAGAAGTGAGGAGTACCTCTGCCCGGCCGCCCATCATCTGAGAAGTGAGGAGTGCCTCTGCCCGGCCACCCATCGTCTGGGAGGTGAGGAGCACCTCTGCCCGGCCGCCCATCGTCTGGGAGGTGAGGAGCGCCTCTGCCCGGCCGCCCATCGTCTGGGAGGTGAGGAGTGCCTCTGCCCGGCCACCCCGTCTGAGAAGTGAGGAGCGCCTCTGCCCGGCAGCCGCCCCGTCTGGGAAGTGAGGAGTGCCTCTGCCTGGCCGCCCATCATCTGGGAGGTGAGGAGCGCCTCTGCCCGGCCACCCCGTCTGGGAGGTGAGGAGCGCCTCTGCCCAGCCGCCACCCCGTCTGGGAAGTGAGGAGCGCCTCTGCCCGGCTGCCCCGTTTGGGATGTGAGGAGCGCCTCTGCCTGGCCGCCACCCCGTCTGGGAAGTGAGGAGCGCCTCTGCCCAGCCGCCCCGTCTGGGAAGTGAGGAGTGCCTCTGCCTGGCCGCTGTGCAATCTTCCAAGTGTGAAGTGACAGCCTTTCTGCAGGTGTACCCAATAGCTCCGAAGAGACAGCGAACATCAAGAACGGGCCATGATGACAATGGCGGTTTTGTCGAAAAGAAAAGGGAAATGTGGGGAAAAGAAAGAGAGATCAGATTGTTACTGTGTCTGTGTAGAAAGTAGACATAGGAGACTCCATTTTGTTCTGTACTAAGAAAAATTCTTCTGCCTTGGGATGCTGTTAATCTATAACCTTACCCCCAACCCCGTGCTCTCTGAATCATGTGCTGTGTCAACTCAGGGTTAAATGGATTAAGGGCGGTGCAAGATGTGCTTTGTCAAACAGATGCTTGAAGGCAGCATGCTCGTTAAGAGTCATCACCACTCCCTAATCTCAAGTACCCAGGGACACAAACACTGCGGAAGGCCGCAGGGACCTCTGCCTAGGAAAACCAAAGACCTTTGTTCACGTGTTTATCTGCTGACCTTCTCTCCACTATTATCCTATGACCCTGCCACATCCCCCTCTCCGAGAAACACCCAAGAATGATCAATAAATACTAAAAAAAAAAAAAGAAAAGAAAAAGAAAAAAAAAAGAAAGGAAGGACAGAAGGAAGTAAGTTGGGCAGGGACAGAAAGAAAGAAAAAGACAGAGAAAGAGAGGGAGGGAGGGAGTGAAGGAGGAAGGGAGGGAGGGAGAGAAGACAGAGAAGGAGGGAAGAGAGAGAGGGAGGGAGGGAAGAAAGGAAGGAAAAGAAAGAAAGAAAATATTAGGGTTGGAAAGCACCTTAAAATGACATCTAGGCCTGGCACGGTGGCTCATACCTGTAATCCCAGCACTTTGGGAGACAGAGGCAGGCAGATCACCTGAGGTCAGGAGTTCAAGAGCAGCCTGGCCAACATGGTGAAACTCCATCTCTACTAAAAATACAAAAAGCAGTTGGGCATGGTGGCAGGCACCTGTAATCCCAGCTACTCGGGAGGCCAAGGCAGGAGAATCACTTGAACCCGGGAGGTGGAGTTTGCAGTGAGCCGAGATTGCGCTACTGCACTCCAGCCTGGGCGACAAGAGCAAAACTCCGTCTCAAAAAAAAAAAAAAAAAAAAAAAAAAGGACATCTAATGCAAGTAGTCATTTTAATGGCCAATTCCAATGGCTTCTGGTAACTCTGTGGAGAAGGAGGGAAGCCACTGAAAACACCCCTCGCAGTGGCAGACCTCTCCAGTGGAACTCAACTCCTTGGTGAGGCCAGCCAGCCATTTATGCTTTTCTCCCTGACAGTCGTGGCCATGTAAAATTGTTAGCCCGACAGGGATAGGGTCACCCTCTGGGCCCCTTTTGCTGTCAAAATCAGTAGGAGCCACTTGCAGGAGCCAGGCATACTAAGCGTCCTGCAACATCTGAGTGGATAGTTGCTGCACAGTGAAGATCTGTCATGGGCCTTGTAAATGTCTATTATCTCAGCTTAGCCCCTAACTCAGTTTTACATATTAACACAAAGTATTTTTAAACATGGTTTTCATATATGCTAAATTTTCTAGGAGGGGAACTTCCATGTAAGCCAGAGGAAGGTCATATATTGTTTTGTTCAGACCTTTACCAAGAGATGCCCACCATTTCTGAAAATCACATCACCGAGAGCAAAGCTCTCCACCTCGGTCAGTCTGCATTTGTAGCAGTCTGCATTCCACATGCGCTCCTGCGTGATGGTAAAAGCTTCTGAATACTTCTTTATGCCTTCTAGTATGGTCACACCCAAACATTTATACACGAGAATAAATTTTATTATCATACCTAAAATTTTTTCCTTTAAAGTACTGTTAGGGCATTCTGTGTGTTGGTGGGGGGAGGGTGTGTATGTGTGTGTGGACCTACACACATTAGCGTGTGTACATAAGTAGGTTATACTATTTGGCTTTAAGTTCATCATGATAGAAGAAACATGAATCTCATGGGGTAGAAAGCCCCTGGCCTAAAGCCTCCTGTTCTTTGTGAGCCTGTGTTGAAACTCCTAGTGCTTCCCACTTTGAGGCACATACACCTTTGCTTTGCCAGAGAATTTTAGAATCTGGCCTGGCATCCACATGGACTAAAGTTTCTACAATTCCTTTTCTGAAAGATTATATTAACAATGTCTCCAGGCTTCTGATACCTTTCGTGTTCTCCACGATAAGTAAAAACAAATGAAGTATCTGATGCATTGTGTCTACAAATATCCTCAGAAGCCCTATAGTTACCTCTTTTTGGCCAGGACACCAGAACTCATTTAGAGCAGCATTTCCCCCAGCTTCCCTGCCCAACTAGCATAGTAGCTTCCTGTCGGTTTGTTTTAAATGTAAAATTAAGCCATTCACTTTAATTGAATATAGAACCATTAAAATAAATATATAGCCAAGCCAATGAAATAAAACATTCCTCCTTGGAAAAGCAAGCCTAGGATGCCAAAGGAAAGCAGACAATATGCTACTGACATAGATGATGACACTAGAGACAGACATATGCAGAACGGTGCTGGCCCCAGGCAGATGGCTGAGGTTGGGGCCCTGGGACTTGAGAGGGTTTTCTTTTCACTGCTCCAGGCAGTTCCCTCTTCCCCTCTTGGCCCTGACAGAAAGCCAAGAAAAAACAAAGCCGGGCGGAGTGGCTCACACCTATAATCCGAACACTTTAGGAGGTTAAGGTGAGAGGATCACTTGAGCCCAGGAGTTCGAGATCAGCCCGGGCAACACAGCAAGACCCCGTCTCTACAAAAAAATAAAAAGATTAGTTAGGTGTGGTAGCACACACCTCTAGTCCCAGCTACTTGGGAGGCGGAGGCAAGAGGATCACTTGAAGCCAGGAGTGCAAGGTTACAGTGAGCTATGACTGTGCTATTGTACTCCAGCCTGAGTGACAGTGAGACCCTGTCTCAAAAAATAAAGTAAAATAAAATAAGAGTTCTTCTAGACTTAAATGTGGTTATTATGCTCTATGATATAGAAATGTGGAAACCTTGACTGCCCTTTCCAATATGTGTTAGATCAGACCTGAAATTAAGGAAAATCTTGGTATACCCTTAGCTACTTCTTCCCACCTCTGTGTGGAAGCGAGTCAGCCTTCTGTTCAAGCATCTCAGCTCATGAGGCTTCTCCACCCGCGTCAGGGGCTGTCAACTACCCCAGTCAACTACAAAAGCATATGGACCTAACCCTGACCAGACACAGACTACCTGCTCTCCACAGCACTCATCAAAATATAAGTTGAGGGAACATTTACAGAAGAGTGTTCAGTCCAGCCCCGTTACATGCTCCTTGGTGCTGGTCCAAGTAGCTTCTCTTGCCTCTTGTCTGGCACTCCTCGTGGCTGCTGCAGATCTTATCCCACACCACTATCTGACAGATTTCTTAGCAGTTTTGATCCTCACCAGTTGCAAAAATAAATGTAACACATTGATAAAAATTCAGTGGCCGACTTGTGACGATTCATAGGACACCAGAGTAGCAGGACATATCAGGTGATAACCATAATTTTAATCTCTAAAATATACCACTCCATTGAGCTGACCCTCAGACCAGTGCACCGGCCTATCCTCATGTTCATCCCAGCCACAACCATCACCACCCTCACCACCCCCTGCAAATACTCTTCACCAAGCTACTCATTGGCACTGTGTGACAAGGAACTTCAATAAGAAACAGCTCTTTAAAGTCAGTTACTGTTTTGTTTAGTGGACAAAATGATCATTGTCTGTTCTATATGGTATCCTCTCTTGGAGACCCATAAGAAAATTTTCTCTTTGGTCTCAGTACTAGAAGAGTTGTTTATCGCAAGCAATTCAATATTTTATGGTATGAATATGGATCACATTCCTTCTTGACTCTGGCTGTTAGAAAGCTCCGAATAAAATCTGTGGCCCATCCCTCAAATTTCTCCCTACCTGAATTATTTATTTTTATATAATAGAGCATAATATGTAAGGTAGCTTAAAATAATTTTGGAACAAAGTGGGGTATAAATATGCTGGGCATAGGGGCTCACGCCTGTGATCCCAGTACTCTGGGAGACCAAGGCAGGAGGATTGCTTGAGGCCAGAAATTTGAGACCAGCCTGGGCAACAAAGTGAGATGCCATCTCTACAAAAAATTTTAAAAATATTAGCTGGGCATGGTGGCATGTGTCCGTAGTCCCAGCTACTCAGGAGTATGGCTTGACCCCAGGAGTTTGAGGCTACAGTGAGCTATGATCACACCACTGTACTCCATCCAGACTGGGTGACAGAGTGAGACCCTGTCTCCAAAAATAAATAAATAAATAAATAAATAAATAAATAAATAAATAAACAAACAAAGAGGGTGGGGGGCATAAATAATTCTCCTTTTGGGAGACATTTAGGTTGTTTATGCCTTTTTTTTTTTTTTTTTTAAAGACAGGGTCTCACTATGTTGCCCAGGCTGGAGTGTAGTGGCTATTCACAGGTGCCATTACAGTGCACCACAGCCTCAAATTCGTGAGCTCAAGCAATCCTCCTGCCTGAGTGCCCCAAGTCCTGGAACTACAGGTATGGGTCACCAAACCCAACTTGTTTGCAACTTTTTACTACTACCTTAAGATCAAAATCTTAAGTAGATTTTTGTCATTATTTTTTCCTTTAGTACAATTTTCACTTTTTTACTCAAGGGGTCCTACATGTTTCTAGTTAAGGTTGCTATTTATGAAAGGTTCTTCTTAACCCATTAATTTTTCTAACTGGTCATTCCTATATAGGAAAGCTTTTCACTTTGGTATCTTTACTATATGTTCAGCTGTCTTATTGAACTCTTATTGATTTTAACACATTTTCAGTTGTTTTTGCTTTTTTTTTTTTTACAATCCTATTATCTCAATAATGAGAATTCCTTTCTCAAAATGGTAACTCTTATTTCTGTCTCTCATTTACTGCATTAGCCAGAACTTCCGGAATTACACAAAACAGTAAGACAGTTGCCATCCTCGTTTGTGCCCATTAGAAAATGCCTCTTTGGGCCAGGCGCAGTGGCTCACACCTGTAATCCCAGCACTTTGGGAGGCCGAGGCGGGCAGATCATAAGGTCAGGAGTTCAAGACCAGCCTGGGCAATATGGTGAAACCCTATCTCTATGAAAATACAAAAATTATCCAGGCATGGTGGCGTGAGCCTGTAGCCCCAGTTACTCGGGAGGCTGAAGCAGAAGAATCGCTTGAACCTAGGAAGCAGAGGTTGCAGTGAGCCGAGATCATGCCACTGCATTCCAGCCTGGGCAACAGAGTGAGACTCCATCTCAAAAAAAAAAAAAGAAAATGCCTCTTTGAACATAATGTTGATTGTTAGATTGAAATATCATCTTTATGTTAATAAAGCATTCTAATTTTCATATTTTTTGAAGTCAGGAATATGCTCTGAATTCTGATTTTTCTCTATATATTGTCTTTTATTATTTATCTTATCTGACAGACTAATGGGATACATTAACACTTTTTTCTAATTTTAAACCATCCTTTTTATTCCCAGGAGAGATTCTATTTGGTTGTAGCATATTGTTCTTTAAATGTACTGTACTACTGAATTTATTTTGCTCATATTTAATTTTAGATGGGATATTATTGCACATTCATGGAACATTTGCAAGCCCTGTGCTAGGCACTGGAGTATAGAGATAAAAATGAAATGGCAGTGAAACTATTCTGTATTACACTGTAATGGTAGATACATGACATTATACATTTCAAAACCTATATATTCAAAACCTGTAATTCAAAACCTATAGAATTATACAACACAGGCTGGGCGTGGTGGCTCACGCCTATAATCCCAGCACTTTGGGAGGCAAAGGCGGGCAAAGCACTTGAGGTCAGGAGTTCGAGATCAGCCTGGTCAACATGATGAAACCCCATCTCTATTAAAGATAAAAAATTAGCCGGGCAAGGTGGCGGGCACCTGTAATCCCAGCTACTGGGGAGGCTGAGGCAGGAGAATCGCTTGAACCTGGGAAGCAGAGGTTGCACTGAGCCGAGATCGAGCCACTGCACTCCAGCCTGGGCAATAGAGTGAGACACTGTCTCAAAAAAAAAAAAAAAAAAAAAACTGGGCGTGGTGGTTCACATCTGTAATCCCAGCACTTTGGGAGGCCAAGGCGTGAGGATCAGTTGAGGCCAGGAGTTCGAGACCAGCCTTGCCAACATGGTGAAAACCCGATGCTACTAAAAATACAAAAATTAGCTGGGCATGGTTGCGCATGCCTGTAATCCCAGCTACTCTGAAGGCTGAGGCAGGAGAATCACTTGAGCCCAGGAGGCAGAGGCTGCAGTAAGCCGAGATCACGCCACTGCACTCCAGCCTGGACAACAGAGTGAGACCCTGTCTCAAAACAAAACAGAACAAAAACAAAACACAAAGAATTATACAGCACAAAGAATGAACCTTAAATTATAAACTTAATAATAATTAATCAATATTGGCTCATTAGTTATAAGAAATGTACCGCACTAAGATGTTAATAGCATTAATAATACTCAATTTTTAGGTAAATCTAAACTGCTCTAAATTATAAGGTGTATTAATAATAATAATAACAAAGAAATGGCTGGGTGAAACGAGGCGTGATTGGTCATGCCTGTAATCCCAGCACTTTGGGTGGCTGAGGCGGGCAGATCACTTGAGGTCAGGAGTTCGAGACCAGTCTGGCTAACATGGCGAAATCCCGTCTCTACTAAAAATACAAAAAATTACCCGGGTGTGGTGGCAGGTGCCTGTAATCCCAGCTACTTGGGAGAGTGAAGCAGGAGAACTGCTGGAACCCTGGAGACGGAGGTTGCAGTGAGCCAAGATAGCGCCACTGCACTCCAGTCTGGGTGACAGAGTGGGACTGTCTCAAAAAAAAAAAAAAAAGAAATGGCTGGGTGGGGTTGTGTACACCTATAAATTCCAGCACTTTGGGAGGCCAAGGCAGGGGGATTGCTTGAGGTCAGAAGTTCAAGGCTAGCCTGGGCAACATAGCGAGACCCAGTCTCTACAAAAAAAAAAATTAAATAATTAATAATAATAAAGAATGATTGGGGGAAAAAGTGATTGAAAACAACTCAGGACTGAAGATCAAATTGAAATATGCAAATTGAAACGAATGAGTGTGTTGTCACAGGAGAATGGCAGATCTTTTTTAAAAATATCTTACAAATGATATGTTTCTGTGGGAAACAGTGATGTCCAAACAGTAGGATTCCGTAAGAACCTGGTTGCTATCAAAGTCTTTAATAGGTATAATCTCATCATCTATCTTGTTCCAATACCCTGGACTTTTAAGGTCAGATGCCTTCTGCCTTAACAGAAAAAAAATAATGGCTCAACATATGAAAATGCAAACAGCCTAGCCCAGAAAGACGGCCTCCCTAGTCCTGCTGAGGAAATGGCCATGTAACTTGAACTCACTGCAAACACTGTCCAGTACTTACAAAGCATAGCCACTTTCTCCAGATGTGGCATCTAAGTACAAGAAAGACAAGGCTTGAGTATAACTTAATCTAAAACCTCAGATTGTGGCTAATGTGCCCTGCTTTCAGAGAAGTAGCTTGGAGACAGATAATAATGGCATTGTAAGATGGCAATACAGTTTATAAGAAAAAAAAAAGAATATAAAATAGTAGACACTCTTGTACCTACCACCTAGATTTAGCAAATGTTAACATTTTGCTATGTTTGCTTCTGATTTCAGTGTTAAAAGCAATATTTAAAAGATAAAAACAAAACCCAGCACCTATCCTATTTCCTCTCTCTTTTTGCCAAGGGGTAAGCTCTTTTTTTTTCTTATTTTTTTTGGGGGGGGGAAACAGGCTCTCACTCCCATGCCCAGGTTGGAAAGCAGTGGTGCAATCTCGGCTCACTGCAACCTCAACTTCCAGGGCTCTGGTGATGGGTATTCTCCTACCTCTGCCTCCCGAGTATCTGGGACTACAGGCGCGCACCACCACATCCGGCTAATTTTTGGGGGTTTTTTGGGTAGAGATGGGGTTTCACCATGTTGCCCAGGCTCTTCTCAAACTCCTGGGCTCAGGCAATCCACCCACCTTGGCCTCCCAAAGTGCTGAGATTACAGGTGTGAGCCACCTTGCCCGGCTAAGGTAAGCTTTATCTAATGTTGTCTGTCATTCAAATCAGTATAGGTATGCATATATATATATAAACTACATATAGTAGTCATGTATTTTAATATACCTTAATGATAATATATTATGTGTATCATCTTGCAACTTGCTTTTCCATTAAGCATTATATTAAGGTTTTCCATATTGAAATGTTTACATTTGGTGTATTCATTTTAACTTCCTCATATTTAATTGTATGACTAAAACAGTTTCTCCACTGCCCTATTACTTATGTTGTTTAAAATTTTTTACTATGAAAAAAATGCTGCAATAAACATTCTCTACAAATCTTCTTGTGGGAAAAATAAGAAATGAAATGAACGGCCTTCTCTGTGAGTCATGAGACAATAAAGACTTCTTTCTAACAGTGATTATATAATAGAATATATGCTTGAACCCGGGAGGTGGAGGTTGCAGTGAGCTAAGTTCGCACCATTGCACTCCAGCCTGGGTAACAGAGTGAGACCCCATCTGAAAAAAAAAAAAAAAAAAAAGGCCAGGCGTGGTGGCTCATGCCTGTAATTCCAGCACTCTGGGAGGCCAGACAGGCGGATCATCTGAGGTCAAGAGTTCAAGACCAGCCTGGCCAATATGGTGAAACCCCATCTCCACTAAAAATACAAAAATTAGCCAGGCATGGTGGCGGGCGCCTGTAATCCCAGCTACTCGGGAGGCTGAGGCAGGAGAATCACAATCACTTGAACCCGGGAGGTGGAGGTTGCACTTGGCCGACACCGTGCCACTGCACTCCAGCCTGGGCAACAAGAGCGAAACTCCGTCTCAAAAAAAAAAAAAATTTATATACATAATATAAAGGTAACAGAGCATTCTGCGGATGACACAGTAAGGAAAGATAACCTAGATCAATGTTTTTCAATTTGTGGTTTTTGGAATCAAGTAATGGGTTAAAGAAAAGAAATAATTAGAAGAGAATACAAAATATGAAGGTGCAAATAGTATGGATATGTCATGAAATTGTTTCAGTTTTGTACAAATATATTTAACAAATGCATGTATATCATCTAATATAAAATGCATTTCTTATTGTGACTTGATAAAAAAAATTTTTTTAAAAAAACGTTGGTCAAAAGTTTTGACCAAAACATTGGTCAACTCAGGGGAAAATTCACAGGAGTAAACATGTGAACTTAGGGTGACTAGGACACATGCCTGATCTCATGGACAACTCTGAAGAGGGACAGACACTCCATATTAATGCTACCACAGACTGTAGACTACAGGAGCCAAGAGGTGAGAACATGAACAAAAGAGAAGGAGCCCTGGGGAAAGGGATCAGGAAGTGTCAAGGCACAGAGGAGGGAAGTGTGAGGCTGGTTCAGGAGATGCTGAACATGCCACTTAGCTATGGAGGTGGAGTAGGAGCCACAGCTGGGAAGGCAAACGGAGCCGGATGAGGAAGGCCTTGAACGTCATGCCAAAAAGTTTAGACTACTTCACTTAGTAGGCTGAGGTAGTGTTTCCCAAACTGCAGGTTGAGAATTAAGAACTTAAATTACCGAGCCATAACTAGTATTTTTAAAAATTAAGTAGAATAGAAAATGTCAGCATGCACCACATACAAGGGTGAGCACTGTTTTGTGAAAGTTTTGTTTCAGTTACATATATATGTGAACACACAAACACACGCAATTATTCATTTGGGGTTTTGATGTAAAAGTTATTTCTTACTAAAGGTTGTAGTTAAAAAAAAAAAAGTTGAAAGCTACTGGTCAGAAGTAAGTCATCGGTGAATCATTATCAGTATCAGTAGGCTGGTTATGAAGTTCTAGTATAGCTATGCAAGATGTTACAGCCAGGCACGGTGGCTCACACCTTTAATCCCAACACTTTGGGAGGCTGAGGTGGGTGGATCAGAGAGAGAAATGACACTAATGAAAAGTCTGCTATTAACCTCCTAGATGACAACAGCAATTCTGAACCACTTAGAGGCAATTCACCCTTCAAGAGGTCAATTTCCCTTTTCTCTGGCTGATGTGTTCCCCACTATCTTTTCTGTACTACATGAGGGGCTCCTGGCAAATGGCTTCCTGAAGACATCAAAGATGAGTACCAAGGTACTAACTACTTAGGAATAAACTGGTAATCCCATTTTTCCTTCGGCATTTTCTTCCTTTAGTTTTTCTCTTTTTATTCTTTTTTTTTTTTTGAGGGAGGGGCATTCTTCAAAAGGAGGAAAATGAACTATGTATAATGTATTACTGAGCATCTCACAAGGATTTCAAAGCTACTTTCTAAGAGATTGTTTATTTTTATTTTTTATTTTTTTTGAGACAGAGTCTCTCTCTGTCACCTAGGCTGGAGTGCAGTGGCACAATCTCGGCTTAATGAAACCTCCACCTCCCAGGTTCAAGCAATTCTCCCACCTCAGCCTCCCGAGTAGCTGGGATTACAGGCATGCGCCATCACACTCGGCTAATTTTTTGCATTTTTAGTAGAAATGGGATTTCCCCACGTTGGCCAGAGTGGTCTCGAACTCCTGACCTCAAGCGATCCACCCACCTCAGCCTCCCAAAGTGCTGGGATTACAGGCGTGAGCCACTGTGCCCGGCCTTAATATTACTATTATTTTGAGATGGAGTCTTGTTCTGTTGCCCAGGCTGGAGTGCAGTGGCATGATCTCAGCTCACTGCAAGCTCCACCTCCCAGGTTCACGCCATTCTCCTGCCTCAGCCTCCCGAGTAGCTGGGACTATAGGCGCCTGGCACCATGCCCAGCTAATTTTTTGTATTTTTAGTAGAGACGGGGTTTCACTGTGTTAGCCAGGATTATCTCAATCTCCTTACCTCGTGATCCACTCACCTTGGCCTCCCAAAGTGCTGGGTTTACAGGCGTGAGCTACTGCACCCAGTCCCTGTTTTTCTGAGACAGTGTCTCACTCTGATGCCCGGGCTGGAGTGCAGTGGGGCAATCTCGACTCACTGCAGCCTTCACCTCCCGGGTTCAAGCAATTTTTGTGCCTCAGCCTCCCAAGTAGGTAGGACTACAGGCATGACCCATGCCTGGCTAATTTTCGCATTTTCAGTAGAGACAGGGTTTCACCATGGTAGCCAGGATGGTCTCGAACTTCTGACCTCAAGTGATCCACCTGCCTCGGCCTCCCAAAGTGCTGGGATTACAGGCGTGAGCCACCACACCCAACCAGAAATTGTTTCTTTTTAAAAGATCTAATTAAACTTTTAAAGATAATTGTAGACTCATGTGTAGTTGTTAAAAAACAATACAGAGAGATCCCACATACTCTTTCAGGCTCACTGCAACCTCCGCCTCCTGGGTTCAAGTGATTCTCCTTGAGTAGCTGAGATTACAGGTGCCCGCCACCATGCCTGGCTATTTTTTGTATTTTTAGTAGAGACGGGGTTTCAACATGTTGGCCAGGCTGGTCTTGAACTCCTGACCTCAGGTGATCCACCCACCTCAGCCTCCCAAAGTGTTGGGATTACAAGTGTGAGCCACCGTGCCTGGCTGTAACATCTTGCATAGCTATACTAGAACTTCATAACCAGCCTACTGATACTGGTAATGATTCACCGATTTTCAGATTTCACCAGGTCTGCATGCATTCATTTGTGTGTGCCTATCTAATTAGTTCAGTGCAATTTTACTCTATGTGCAAAGTTGGGTAATCACAACCACAGTTGATACAGAACACTTTTATCACAAGAATTTCATGTTATCCTTTAGAAAGTCTTTTATCTTATAAATCCAAATACTCTACTTCCACAGAAGTCTTGAAATTTTTCACCCAGATCTAAGCCTTGGCTGAAGACTCCAGTTAAGCTCACTGCCCACACTGTAAGAAACAAACTTGAGTGACACATTTAGTCTTGGCATTCATGTCACTTAAATGATAAATATAACTATGCAGGAAAATGCAAAAGTATATATAGGCTGGGCATGGTGGCTCACGCCTGTAATCCCGGCACTTTGGGAGGCCAAAGTGGGCAGATCACTTGAGGTCAAGAGTTTGAGATAAGCCTGGCCAACATGGTGAAATGCTGTTTCAACTAAAAACACAAAAATTAGCCAGCCATGGTGGCGCATGCCTGTAGTCCCAGCTACTCAGGAGGCTGAGGTGAGAGAATGGCTTGAACCTGGGAGGCGGAGGTTGCAGTGAGCTGGGATCACACCACTGCACTCCATCCAGCCTGGGCGACAGAGGGAGACTGTCTCAAAAAAAAAAAAAAAAGTATTATGAAAGTATTATGATCATACATTTGTTAAAAATCTATGTCTAGGAATATGTATACATAAATAGTTGGAGAGGTAATGGTGGGCATGCAGAAATGTAAACATCCGACATACTAGGCTGGTGGGATAAGTTGTTCTTCTTTTCCTTTTATGTATTGAAAGTTGATGTATGCCTGAGGTCTCAGGATAACAGCGGAGAAGACTGAGATTTATGTTCAGAGTACTTTTTGCAGCTGCCAGTACTAGGGCTCAGAAAGGGAAGTGCAAGGGAAGGGCCAAGAAGGGATCCAGGAGTTGAGTGGCCAACTGTCTTGGCATACCCACAGCTAAGGAGTTTTCCAGAACATAGTACTTTTGGTGCTAAAACCTGGGCAAACTTGGAAGAGTTGGTTGCCCTGTCTCGAAGGTTGTTGTCTGTGCTTCCTTGGAGCTTGAAGCAACCAACAAACCTTTTGTTTTTGGTGTTGAGGTTCAGCACCTGGGGGTAGGGAAGTGTGGAAGGATAATTTAGAAGAGAATAAGGTGACCATGACACTTTCTGAACACCTCAGCATCCAGCTTCCTTCAGCCTACAAAGTTACCATAGCTGCGTTATACAATCTGATTTTGAGTCTCATAGAGATGTAATGAAAAGTAATTCTGGCAGACACACATATTTTAAAGACTAGACTCAAACAGGTTACAGAAGGGAAAAAAAAGAAGAAGAAAAGATTACCTGTCAAGTAAGAGAAAAGCATTTCACCTCAAAGAGTGGGTGGAATATCAATGCACTGAGCAATTTCATAAATTGGGCACTTCAGCTTTTAAAGAAGTGCACTACTTCTTATAATTTCTAAATTGAGTTACCTGTCCATCCATGAAAAAAGTTTGACTCATGTGCCTTTTTCTTACAACTGGTTAAAATGAAAGACAGTTGTCCCAGCCCATCCCACACAGTTACCCACCAGTGAGAGGTATGCAAAAAAACCAGAACACAGGTTAGAGCCCCAAAGAAGCCTGCAGTTTTATACCACGTGGAGCCAAGTCACCCTCTAAGGGCTTAACATGTGCTAGGCACAAGTAGACTCAGTTTTTCCTCTTTATTTTTAATTTTTATTTATTTATTTATTTATTGAGACAAGAGTTTTGCTCTTGTTGCCCAGGCTGGAGTGCAATGGCGCGATCTCGGCTCACTGCAACCTCCCCGTCGTGGGTTCAAGCGATTCTCCTGCCTCAGCCTCCTGAGTAGCTGGGATTACAGGCACCCACCACCACACCCAACTAATTTTTTTGTATTTTTAGTAGAGACGAGGTTTCACCATGTTTGCCAGCCTGGTCTTAAACTCCTGACAGCCTGGTCTTAAACTCCTGACCTCAGGTGATTCACCCACCTTGGCCTCCCAAAGTGCTAGGATTACAGGCGTGAGCCACTGCACCCAACCTATTTTTATTTTTTGAGACGGAGTCTTGCTGTGTCACCTCGGCTGGAGAGCAATGGTACGATCTTGGCTCACTGCAACCTCCGTCTCCTGGGTTCAAGCGATTCTCCTGCCTCAGCCTCCTGAGTAACTGGTATTACAGGCATGCACCACCACACCCAGCTAATTTTTTTATTTCTAGTAGAGATGGGGTTTCACCATGTTGGCCAGGCTGGTCTCGAACTCCTGACCTTGTCATCTGCCCACTTGGGCCTCCCAAAATGCTGGCATCATAGGCATGAACCACCACACTCGGCCTTTTTACTTTTTTTTTTTTTTTTTTTTTTTTTGAGATGGAGTCTCACTCTGTCACCCAGGCTGGAGTGCAATGGTGCAATCTCAGCTCACTGCAACCTCCACCTCCTGGGCTCAAGCGATTGTCCTGTCTCAGCCTCCTGAGTAGCTGGGATTATAGGCACACACCATCATGCCCAGCTGATTTTTGTATTTTCAGTAGAGATGGGGTTTCACTATGTTGGCTAGGCTGGTCTCGAACTCCTGACCTCAGGTGATCCGCCCACCTTGGCCTCCCACAATGCTGGGATTACAGGCGTTGAGTGAGCCACCGCACCCAGCCCAGTTTTTACGTTTAAGAAATGTATAGGCTCAAAACAAGGCACAGATAAGCCGTCTTTCTCCTGAGAGACTCAGTCTCAAAACAAGATCTACAAAGGTTTTTACTACCATTTACTCAGCACCTTAGTAACAGTGTCAGCAAAATTCTACGGGAACCCAGGTGAGGTGGCCAGTCTCTCCAACATAAAACCTGACCCTAACCCTAACCCTTTCCCTCTCCTCCATGGCCTACTCCATCTGCTCTTGCTTCTCTCCTGAATTTTCAACTTACCTCTGACTACTGAAACCTATCGTCAACATGTAAACACATTCAAGGCTCTTCTGCCAACTCCTCCCACAAAAAACCACGCTGGTTTAATGGTGCATCTTTCTTAGGGTTACCAGATTTTTTTTTTTCAACTTTTATTTTAGATTCAGGAGACACATGTGCAGGTTTGTTACCTGGGTATATTGCATGATGCTTAAGGTTTGGGGTACAAATAATCATGTCACCCAGGTACTGAGCATAGTACTAACAGTTTGTTTTTCAACCTTTGCTGCCCCCTCTCCCCTCCCTCTCTCCCATCTATTTTTTTTTTTAGGGTTGCCAGATTTTTTTTTTTTTTTTTTTTTAGACTGAGTCTCACTCTGTCACCCAGGCTTGAGTGCAGTGGCACAATCTCAGCTCACTGCAACCTCTGCCTCCCAGGTTCAAGTGATTCTCCTGCCTCAGCCTCCCAAGTAGCTGGGATTACAGACACGTGCCATCATGCCCGGCTAATTTCTGTATTTTCAGTAGAGACGGGGTTTCAACATGTTGGACAGGCTAGTCTTGAACTCCTGACCTCAGGTGATCCGCCCGCCTCAGCCTCCCAAAGTGCTGGGATTATAGATGTAAGCCACCACACCCGGCCAGTTGCCAGGTTTAACAAATAAAAATAAAGAATGTTCACTTAATCTGAAAAGTGGTGTGTGCTGAAAAAATTTTAAAAATAAAGAATATTTGCTGCATATTATATTTATTGAACAATCAGCAAACTAGGAATAAAAAATAACTTCCTCATCAGGTGTGGTGGCTCACACCTGTAATCCCAACACTTTGGGAGGCCGAGGCAGGTGGATTACCTGAGGTCAGGAGTTTTTGATACCAGCCTGACCAACATGGAGAAACCCCGTCTCTACTAAAAATACAAAGTTAGCTGGGGGTGGTGCATGCCTGTAATCCTAGCTCCTTGGGAGGCTTAGGCAGGAGAATCACTTGAACCCGGGAGGCGGAGGTTGTGGTTAGCCGAGATTATGCCATTGCACTCCGGCCTGGGCAACAAGAGCGAAACTCCGTCTCAAAAAAATAAATAAATAAAAATAAAAAATAACTTCCTCAACATGATAAAAGGTTTATAAAAACCCCATAGTTAACATCATACTCAGCCGGGAGTGGTGGCTCATGCCTGTAATCCCAACACTTTGAGAGACTGAAGCAGGAGTATTGCTTGAGCCCAAGAGTTCAAGACCAGCCTTGGCAACATAGAAAGACTCCACTCTACAAAATATAAAAATTTAGCCAGATGTCGTAGTGTGCCCACAGGTGGTCCCAGCTACTTGGAAGGCTGAGGCAGGAGGATCACTTGAACCTGGGATTTTGAGGCTGCAGTGAGCCATAATCATCCCACTGCACTCCAGCCTGGGCAACAGAGTGAGACCCTTTTTCTTTTCTTTTCTTTTCTTTTTTTTTTGCCTCAGCTACTTGGAAGGCTGAGGCAAAAGGGATCACCTGAGTCCAGGAGGTCGAGGCTGCGGTGAGCCATGATAGTGCCACTGCACTCCCAGTATGGGCAACAGGGTGAGACAGTCTCAAAAAGAAAAAAAAAAAAAAAAGGTCAGTATTGGTGGCTCACACCTATAATCCCAGCACTCTGGGAGGCCAAGGTGGGCAGATCACTTGAGGCCAGGAGTTCGAGACCAGCCTGGGCAACATGGTGAAACCCCATCTCTACTAAAAATACAAAAAAAAATTGGCCAGGCATGGTGGCTTATGCCTGTAATCTCAGCACTTTGGGATGCCAAGGTGGGCAGATAACCTGAGGTCAGGAGTTTGAGACCAGCCTGGCCAATTTGGCGAAACACTGTCTCTACTAAAAATACAAAAAAAATCACCCAGGCGTAGTGGTGGGTGCCTATAATCCTAGCTACTATGGAGGCTGAGGCAGGAGAATCTCTTGAACCCGGGAGGTGGAGGTTGCAGTGAGCTGAGATCGTGCTACTACACTCCAGCCTGGGTGACAGAGTGAGACTCCGTCTCAAAAAAAAAAAAAAAAAAAAGGTGCCGGGCTTGGTGGCACACTCCTGTAATCCCAGCTACTTGGGTGGCTGAGGCACGAGAATCGCTTGTACCTGGGTGGCAGAAGCTGCAGTGAGCAGAGATCACGCTACTGCACTCCAGCCTGGGCGACAGAGAGAAACTCTGTCTCAAAAAAAAAAAAAAAAAAAAGAAAAGTATGTGTATATACCCAATGGTAGGTGAAAGACTGGAAACATTCCCCTAAAATCCAGAACAAGACAAAGATGCCTACTTTCATTGTTTGTATTCGATATCTTATTAGAAGTTCCAACCAGAGCAATAAGGCAAGAAAAAAGAAAAAAAAGGAATCCAAAGTGGAAAAGAAGATATAAAACTGTATTCACAGATGAAAAGAGCCTATATATAGGAAATTCTGAAAAATTCACACAGCAACAAAAAAAATTATTAGGGCTAACAAATGAATATTAAGCACAATAGCAGGTTAATCATCTGTCTTTTTTTTTTTTTTTTTTTTTTTTTTGAGACAGAGTCTCTGGCTCTGTTACCCAGGCTGGAGTACAGTGGCATGATCTCAACTCAATGCAACCTCTCTGCCTCCTAGGCTCAAGTGATTCTCATGCTTCAGCCTCCTGAGTTGCTAAGGTGTGTGCCACCACATCTGGCTAATTTTTGCATTTTTAGTAGAGACAGGTTTCACCATGTTGGCAAGGCTGGTCTCAAACTCCTGGCCTCAAGTGGTCTGCCCGCCTCAGCTTCCCAGAGTGCTGGGATTACAGGTGTGAGCCGCCATGCCTGATTAATCATCTGTATTTCTAAACACTCACAATTAACAACTCATAAAAGAAGTTTTAAAAACAATTGCATCTACAATAGCATAAAAAAGAATAAAATAATTAGGAATAAAGTTAACATCGGGGTACAGTGGCTCACACCTGTAATCCCAGCACTTTGGGAGGCCGAGGTGGGTGGATCACGAGGTCAGGAGTTCAAGACCAGCCTGGCCAAGATGGCGAAACCCTGTCTCTATTAAAAATACAAAAAATTAGCTGGGCGTGGTGGCAGGTGCCTGTAATCCCAGCTACTCGGGAGGCTGGGCAGAGAACTGCCTGAACCTGGGAGGCGGAGCTTGCAGTGAGTCGAGATCGCACCACTGCACTCCAGCTGGGTGACAGAGTGAGACTCCGTCTCAAAAAAACAAAAAAAAAATTAGCCAGTTATGGTGGCATGCACCTGTAGTACCAGCTACTTGGGAGGCTGAGGTTAGAGGATCGCTTGAGCCCAGGATTTGAGGCTGCAGTGAGCTACGATCACATCATTGCACTCCAGCCTGGGTGACAGAGCGAGACCCTATATCAAACAAAACAAAACAAAAAACTAAGAAAATGTAAGATTTATACACTGAAAACTATAAAACATTCCTGAATTAAAAATCTAAATAAATTAAAAGATATATACCATGATTATGGATTAGAAGGCTTAATACTGTCAAGATGGCAAAATTCCCCAAAGCAAACGACAGATTCAATACTGTCCCTATCAAAAGCCCAAAGGCTTTTCTTGCAGAAATGGGCAAACTGATCCTAAAATTCATATGGAAGTGCAAGGACCATGAGTAGCCAAAACAATATTGAAAAATAACAAAGTTGGAGGACTCATACTTCCCAATTATGTGGTATTGGCATAAGAATAGATGAATGGAATAGAAATGAAAATCCATAAATAACCCCCCACATGTATGGTCAATTGATTTGACACAGATGCCAAAACCATTCAATGCAGGAAGAATATCCTCTTCAACAAATGATGCTGGGACAACTAGATATCCACATGCAAAAGAATGAAGTTGGACTGTTCCCTCATGCTACATATAAAAATTAACTCAATGTGATCAAAGACCTAAATATAAAGAGCTCAAACTATGAGAAAAGACATAGGGGTAAATCTCCCTGACCTTGGACTTGGCAATGGTTTCTTAAATATGATACCAAAAGCACAAGCAACTAAAGAAAAAATAATAAATTGGGCTTCAACAAAATTAAAAACAGAAAGTGAAGACAACTCACAGAATGGGAGAAACTATTTGCAAATCACATATATTGTATCTGTTACCTGTATTATGTTACTTATATATATACAATCTCCTTATGTTTGTGCTCTAACATAACCAAACCTGAATCCCACCAGACTTCCTAATATAACACATAGCATGTTTCCTTCTCATCTGAGCTACTTGCTATGAAAACCATTCTGCCTAAGCGTCAGACTTGGGAACCATTGGCCCAACAGGTGCTTGTGTAATTCTGTTCTTCTAGGTCCAATTTTAAGAAGAAAAATATGAGGGTAGGGGGAGTTTATGCAAGACAAGTAGAAATGTGAAAGAGGGAGCTAAAAGAAAAATATTAAGTTCACCAATTCTGAAATGGCTCTTAAAGCAAAAGGAATCAGCAACTAAGGACAAACAACCACATCTAAACAAGAATAAGAATTTTAATTTTAGAGCACGTGAAAAGATGTGTTGGAGGAAAAATCCTGAAATATAAGTGAAGCTTTGAGAGCCTTTTTTTTTTTTGACAGGGTCTCACTCTGTCAGCCAGGTGGGAGTGCACTGACACAATCACAGCTCTCTGCAGTCTTGACCTTCTAAACTACGGTGATCCTCCCACCTCAGCCTCCTAAGTAGCTGGACTACAGGTGTGCATCACCATGCCCAGCTAATTTTTTGTATTTTTAGTAGAGATGGGGTTTTGCCATGTTGCTGGTCTGGAACTCCTGGGTTCAAGAGATCACCCAAAGTGCTGGGACTACAGACCTGAGTCACCACACTTGGCCTTTTTTTCCTTTTTTTTTTTTTTTTGAGTTAGGGTCTTGCTCTGTCATCCAGGCTAAAGCACAGTGGTGTCATCTCAGCTCACTGCAGCCTCAACCTCCCAGGCTCAACAGATCCTCCCACCCAGCCTCCTGAGTAGCTAGGACTGCGGG
The DNA here is from genome assembly GCF_000001405.40 of Homo sapiens. Lineage (NCBI taxonomy): Eukaryota > Metazoa > Chordata > Mammalia > Primates > Hominidae > Homo > Homo sapiens. The sequence goes on from NC_000020.11 coordinate 3,145,583, forward strand.
GGCACACCACCACGCCTGGCTAATTTTATTTTTTTGCAGAGGCAAGGTCTCACTATGTTGGCCAGGCTGGTCTCAAACTCCTGGACTCAAGCAATCTTCCCACTTTGGCCTCCTAAAGGCTGAGATAACAGGCATGAGCCACCACATCCAGCATGAGATTCTTATTTTAAAACAAGGTATAGGCCAGCCACAGTGGCTCATGCCTGTAATCCCAGCACTTTGGGAGGCCAAGGTGAGTGGATCATCTGAGGTCAGGAGTGTGAGACCAGCCTGAACAACATGGTGAAACCCCATCTCAAATAAAAATGCAAAAATTAGCTGGGCGTGGTGGTGGGCGCCTGTAACCCCAGCTACTCAGGTGGCTGAGGCAGGAGAACTGCCTGAACCTGGGAGGCAGAGCTTGCAGTGAGCCAAGATCGCGCCATTGCTCTCCAACCTGGGCAACCGAGGGAGACTCCGTCTCAAAAAAAAAAAAAAGGCCAGACGCGGTGGCTCACACCTGTAATCCCAGCATTTGGGAGGCCAAGGCAGGCGGATCACCGGAAGTCAGGAGTTCAAGACCAGCCTGGTCAACATGGAGAAACCCCGTTTCTGCTAAAAAGACAAAAATTATCCAGGTGTAGTGATACGCGCCTGTAGTCTCAGCTACTCGGGAGGATGAGGCAGGAGAATTGTTTGAATCTGGGAGGCGGAGGTTGCAGTGAGCTGAGATTGTGCCACTGCATTCCAGCCTGGGTGACAGAGCGAGACTCCATCTCAAAAAACAAACAAAAAAACTGGCTTTAAAAAAAAAAAAAATCTGTAAGGGTGGGGGGAGGGTCTCCAGAAAAGAATAAAATTTTTAAAAATTGGCTTTATATAATGTCTGACTATACTTTTATTCTAAAAACTCTGTGACATAAGGCTGGTAAACAGAAAGAAAAATCCAACAAGGACTTACTTGACCGTAGGACATATTAAGATGTTTATTATTTACTAAGAGTAACATGTATACATTTGCAGTAATTTGTACAATCCAACTACATTACAATTCACAGTAACATACACTAGCTCTAACCTGCCTTGGATACAATTAAGTCTCCTCAACACACTATTTTATCGCCAAACTTACATTCTGGCTTTTATAATCATTTTGCAACACCTGGTACAGTATACACCTATAGCTTTGCCATAGAAATGCCCCTAAATGCCCTTCAGAGAGCAGAGGTGAATACTTTCTCATGAAGAAACGCCAACTTTTCTAAGCGAGTTCGTTTCAGTAGTGGGAGCCATTCCCAGTAGGATAACTCTACCACACGGTAGCCAAGCCGAGCCAGCTGCCGCCTCTTCATATTGTGCAGTCCAAGGAGATCCCTGGAGCCATAGCAATACTGGTTCCTGTTTGTGAACTGAACAGCCAGCTTCATTCTTGGGGTCTGCATGCAGGCTGCGGGGCACAGGCCAGCCATCTCCATGGCCCCTGATTTATCTGCTACATTGCAAAGGAAGCCCCCCAGAGGTACAGCTGCCTTATTCTCCAACTCCATGGGCTGCTGCCCAGGCTCTGACTCAGTTTTGCCCTGGAAATGTCCTCTTGCTTTCCCTTTTAGTAACTTATTCATCAAATCATCTGTAAGGCTGACTCCCACATGCTCAAGCCTTAATTTGGCTACATTTTCAGCCGGCGTGGCTTCTCTATTAAATGGTAATGGCTTCAGGTTAACATCAAGCTGGACCTCTAAGTCAGAAGATCGGGTATGAGGCAAAATCATATGGTGCTTGACGTACTGGGGCCCCCCCAGCATGGTCTCCAGTAAAAAGACAGTTTCTAAGAATTCAGGCTTTGAATTCATATCCTTCTCTGCTAAATACCACAGCAATTCAGACCCCTCTTGCTGAAGGTGAGTACTAAGACGATTGCCTCTGTAATCTGGACACTCAATGCCAACTGTACCATCGAGGGTATATAGTTCCTTAAGGAGGTCAAACTTAGTTCTCTCCTGAGCTAACCTGACAAACCCTGGACTGAGAGCGAAATCAATTAACTCTACTGGAAAGTACTCCAAAAATGCCAGGCCCAGCAGGCAGGTGGGCAGGTGTTCTGGGTACTGGTTGAATTCAGGCATCTTTCTGTGAATCTCACTTATCAGGCTGGAGTAAAATTCTTCTGCATTGGGTGGCTTATAATTCAGAGTTCCAAATGACCACAGAATCTTGGCAACATCTTTACTTCGACAGTGTGCCACTCTAGGAGGCAAAGACGCAGCCACTGCATTCATTACTCCTTCATTCAGGAAGCGTAAGGCCGAGCAGTAAAGAGTCAGGTGCATGACACCTTGAACTCCCAGGGAAGGAATTCGCTGAGGAGCTATCTCTCCAATCTGCTTCATGAAATTGATGTGATCCACGTGAGTGAAACGGAACATTTTAACAATATTCACTAAGGAGCGACTACTCAGATGCTGAATGTTAGCACAAGCCAAGTCTCCAATTTTCCGCATGACAAATTCAGAGAGATTAGTACTTGATTTAAAGAACCCCAAACAGATGGTACCAACCTCCTCCAAATTGATCAAATCTATATATTTAAGGATCAATGATTCCAATTTTTGCATTAGGTCCTGGGATACCTGACGATTTTCACCTATAACATAAATTAAGTGAACTAGCTGAGACAAGGATAGATCCTTCCAGTGCAAATTAAGATAACTAGAAAAAATGTTTAAAAACCTAGGTACTTTGCGGCCTAAGTACCTCCAGAGATCAGCCACCAAAAGGAGCTGATCCATATTCATCTCCCATACCTGATGGCAACACTTGGTCTCATACACATCTAGCATTGAATGGGAGTGAGGGATTCCTAAAATGACAAAAGCTTTCAAAACATTGATCAGATCTTGGGTATCAAAGAGCTGTATCTTCTTCACACTCAGCTGGCAGAGCAGAGCAAAGCTGGTACTGCCCAGCAAGACAGGATGCTGCTCTGCAGGCAAAGAGCTCAGCTTACACAAATAATCAACAATGACTTGAGCCTGGAGATTATTTTGATTAACTCTGACTTTGTGCAAAATTAGTTCACCTTCTGAAACAGACAGGAGCTGAGAAGTCTCAGATGCATTATAGCTGTGAACACGGTATTCTGGTCTTAGCTGTAGGAAAACTCGCATGTTTTCAAAGGAATCAAACACTTCTACGTCCTCTTCATCAACTCCTGTGGCCCTGGGTGAGCCCAGCTGCAATGTACTGGCCTTAGAGGAAGAAGTCTTGCTGAATTCCAAACCTGGGTGGGCACTGCTGGTTGTCAGGATTCTCCGAGAAGAGAAGGTGCTACATATGTTCTTAACTTTTTTGGCAGAATGGCAGAGGCTAATGTGTTCTGGAGGGTCCTGTCCCCCATGCTGTGTGCTGCTCACATTCCAGTATGACACACTTCGGACTGCACCAAAGGCAGAAGGACTGCAAAATGCTCGGTATCTTACAAGTTTTAATGACTTGAGAGTAGCTGCCATTCTGGTGTCAGTATTGATCTCTTTGGCAGTCAGAATACAGTCCTCACAGATTTGACCAGGCAATTTCTTGTTTATATGGTGCTTGATTAGAGCTGGACGGGGAGGTGTTCCACAAAAACTGCCTGGAAATCTTCAGCATATCACAAGAGCCAGGGATCACAAATGACTGGGTCAGAATTGGTGCCAGATACTGAAAAAAGGGTAGATGAAGAATGAGTGGCTTCTACCTATAAAAGCATCCAAATTTACACATTATAAAAAACAGGTTGAAACTACACTGCTGTCTACTCAAATAAGTTCAATGCTAGTAAATGCCCAAACCACATGACAGCATATATCAAGGATAAATTCTGCGGTCTGTGTAAAGGCCTAGGAAAACCCCCAACCCAGGGTACCCGTGGGCAGTTCCTGGACTGCTGCTCACCAGACTTCCTTCACTGTACAAGGCAAGCAGTGACGGCTAAAGAAGAGACGGTGCTCCGCTAACATTTGATAGGAAGAAGGAAGGCAGATTTCTAGAAAGAAGGCTGGGAACAAAAGTGAGCAACTCCTTCCATCTCTTTGATATCAAGGCAAACAGGTCCTACCTGAAGAATGTTTATAAAAACTGCTATGCTAACAGCACTAAGTAAAAAGTGGGATCTGGTATAAAAGATAATTAGTTGGCTGGGTGTGGGTGGCTCATGCCTGTAATGCCAGCACTTTGGGAGGCCGAGGCAGGCAGATCACTTGAGGTCAGGAGTTCAAGACCAGCCTGGCCAACAAGGCGAAATCCCGTCTCTATTAAAAATACAAAAAATTACCCAGGTGTGGCAGCACACACCTGTAATCCCAGCTACTCAGGAGGCTGAGGCAGGAGAATCCCTTGAACCCAGGAGGCAGAGGTTGCGGTGAGCCAAGACCGTGCCACTGCACTCCAGCCTAGGCGAAAAAGTGAGACTCCATCTCAAAAAAAAAAAAAAAAGATTTAATTAGTTATACCTACGATAACCCTCCCTGTTCTTATAGCGCAAAACTGTTAATTCCAAAATTCTGTCATTCTAATGCTGTTCTTTTACTTTTTAGAAGATGCCTACTCTCCTCTTCAGGAAGCTTATAACAGAATTTGAGTCACTATTAGAGAGTAGTCACAGAGTAATGGTGTTATTAGAAAGTATACTAAAAAACTCACTCATTTTGGTGGGAGAAAGCAGAAGGTTGAGGGTCTGCTCACTGTCACTTCACGGGTGGGAAGCAAAGAGTACCCCAAAGCTGGGCTCAGGGTTCAGGGAACGCCAATTGACGCAACTGCCCCGCTGACATCTTCTGGAGAAGGCAGCTTAGCAATGTTTCCAGTGAGTCTTTATTCTGCCTGTGAGCAGTATAATGCCCATTTTTCTCCCATGGCAGAAACCATGAGAGACTATGAAATTGATTCTGCTGTGCTCTCGCTTTCCTTAATGCTTATTCTTTTTCTTTCCACTTAAGTGCCAAAGCCTGACAAGCAAGACCCAAGGAGACCTGAGTTGTCAACTGATGTACCAGACAGGGCTGTTGCTGCAGAAAACTCCATAAAAGTTCCAAGGGTGCCAGAATGACTTTCTGAAATGCCTGCCTAACTCTGCTGTCAGCCACTTTCTTCCAGAGCCCATAGCACATCATCATTTAGTTCATCAAAGAACAGCAGGGCAGGTCAGTGGCTCTGTTCCAGTAGCCCAGCTACACAGGCTTCTCTAGATGGCAGGAACATATGTATGAATTTCTGTGTGAATCAGAGCAGAATTCTCTCACATTAAATTTTTATACACTTGGTTCTTTACTGTGGCTTGTGGACCATTCTTTTTTTCTTTTTTGAGACAGTCTCACTCTGTCACCCAGGTTGGAGTATAGTGGCATGATAACTGCAGCTTTGACCTCCCACTTCAAGCAATCCTCCCACTTCAGCCTCAGCCTCTTGAAGTAGCAAAAACTACAGGTGCACACCACCAAACCCAGTTAGTGTGTGTTTGTGTGTGTGTTTGTGTGTGTGTGTGTGTGGAGATGGAGTCTCACAATGTTGCCAAGGCTGGTCTCAAACTCCTGGGCTCAAGTGATCCTCCTACCCTGGCCTCCTGAAGTGCTAGTATTACAGGCATCAGCCACCATGCCTGACCACCTGTGGACCATTCTGCCCACCAAATTTCAATCTGTGGTTCAGATCAAGGGTGAGCAGACTATGTCCTGGGGCCCAAATCTAGCTCTTCACATGTTTTTGTAAACAAGGTTTTTTCAGAACATAGCTAGGCCATTCATTATATATTGTCTATGTCTGCTTTCCTGCTACAAGAGCAGAACTGTGTAACTGTGGCAGATTGTATGGCCTGCAAAGCATATTTAGTGTTTGGTCTATTACATAAAAAGTCTGCTGATCTCTGCTACACACTATTTCTATAAATGCAGATAGCCAGCTTTTTAAAAATTAGAAAAACTTGGCCACGCCTATAATCCCAACACTTTGGGAAGCTGAGGCAGAAGGATTGCTTGAGGCCAGGAGTTTGAGACCAGCCTGAACAACACAGCAAGACTGTCTAAAAAATAAAATAAAATAAAAAATAAATTAAAAAAATAAAAAATTTTAATTAAAATTGGAAAAACTATAGAAAAATAGTACTAAAATAATGTTTTTCTTTAATATTTAGATGATAATTGAAGATTACAGTCCTCAAAATAGTCATTAGGAAATCCAATTAATACTACAGCACAGGAAAGGTGGGAACAAAAGAGACAGCAGGATGGCCAGGCGTGGTGGCTCATGCCTGTAATTCCAGCACTTTGAGAGGCCAAGGCAGGCAGATCACTTGAGGTCAGGAGTTCGAGACCAGCCTGGCCATCATGGTGAAACCCTATCTCTACTACAAATACAAAAATTAGCCAGGTGTGGTGGCATGAGCGTGTAATCCCAGCCACTCGGGGGGCTGGGGCACAAGAGTCGCTTGAACCCAGGAGGCGGAGGTTGCAGTGAGCCAAGATGGTGCCACTGCACTGCAGCCTGGGTGACAGAGACTCTGTCTCAAAAAAAAAAAAAAAAAAAAAAGAACCAAAAAAACAGAGATAGCAGGTAACAGAACTCTCCAGCTGACAGAACAGGGCTTTTAAGAAGACCTATTTTTGGCTGGGCACAGTGACTCATGTCTGTAATCCCAGCACTTTGGGAGGCTGAGGCGGGTGGATCTATGAGGTCAGGCATTCGAGACCAGCCTGGCCAACATAGTGAAACTCTGTCTCTACTAAAAATACAAAAAATTAGCCAGGCGTGGTGGTGGGCGCCTGCAATTGCAGCTGGGGCACCTGCAATCCCAGCTACTCGGGAGGCTGAGGCGGGAGAATCACTTGAACCTGGGAGGCAGAGGTTGCAGTGAGCTGAGATAGCGCCACTGCACTGCAGCCCGGGCGATAGTGCAAGACTCTGTCTCAAAAAAAAAGAAGAGGAAGACCTACTTTCGAATTTGGAATTTAATTTAATCCACCACAATGTGCAACTAAAGCCATATACTGTTCAAATCTGTAGTCTTCATCTCATTTGAGGAAGGAGATCCTGGCCAGGCACAGTGGCTCACACCTATAATCCCAGCACTTCAGGAGGCCAAGGTGGGCGGACCACTTGAGGACAGGAGTTCAAGACCAGCCTAGCCAATATGGGGAAACGCCATCTCTACTAAAAATACAAAAATTAGCTGGGCGTGGTAGTGCGCCTGTAATCCCAGCTACTTGAGAGGCTGAGGCAGGAGAATTGCTTGAATCCAGGAGGCAGAGGTTGCAGTGAGCTGAGATCATACTACTGCATTGCAGCCTGGGCGAAAGAGCAAGACTGTCTCAAAAAAAAAAAAAAGTAGATCCTAAAAAAATAGATTTAAAGGTCCCATTTTTTAAATAAAATAGCTGTGCCATAGTAAAGCGAAAAACAGAAAATGTCTGTCTAGAAGGAGGCTGGTTTACAAGATAAATGTGTGGCAGGCATCAACACATGAAAAAGTACACACTAATATTGAGTGGAACAAATAGCACATAAACAAGAATTAACAAATATCTCTATAAATGATATTAATTTTAAAACATTAAATAATTAAAATTACTTCAATTAATTCTACCTAAGAGTACTTAATGAAATTACTATACGTGGTCTGGAAATAAAAGAACCATCTCCTAGAACATCAATGTTTGGTGCAGCTCCAGTGTTTTGAATTCATGTGACACTTTTTGATTTGTAAAAACACAGGCTAAGATCCAAGATGGAAATAACCAGAGCTATGCCTTAGGGCCTCCTCTGTGCCAAGGCTTAGAGCCTTGTAAAGCTGCTTTATCTGCATTAGTTCCCATCCTTATAACATCTCTGTAATGTAAGTTTATAATCCCCATATTACTGATGAGAAAGAGACCACAAGATTAAGAAACCTGCCAAAAGTTACACAGCCAAGGGATTGAGTGGAGCCTAATATTAAAGACTGTCTGACTCTTCAGCCCACATTATTGGTGTACTAGAGAGACAAGAATGGATGTCAGAAAACAGGTTCGGGGGGCAGTACGGGGTGGGATGGCTGAACAATCTATGGTCTTCTAGGATTTCCAGGTGCCAGGGAGCTGGAGGGTTAGAACTAGGTAAGCTTGAAAGTCCCTTCCACCTCTAACAGTCTACGATTCTATCACTACGGTTTATACTGCAAGTTGAGTATCCCTTGTCCAAAATGCTTGAGACCAGAAGTGTTTCAGATTTTAAACTTTTTCAGTTTTTGGACTATGTGCTTTATACTGACCAGTGAGCATTCCAAATTCAAAAATCCAAAATCTGAAATACTCCAATCATTTTTTTTTCCTTTGAGTATCATGTTGGTGCTCAAAAAGTTTCAGATTTTGGAGCATTTTGCATTTTGGAGTTTCAGGTTTGGAATGCTCAACCTGTACTTTAAAAAAGAACAAAGAGAAGACCTCAAAGGCTGAAATCTACATGAGGCAAAGAGTTCGCAGGATGCTCCAGGATCAAAGTAAGGAGAGCTACCACAATTGAAGACCTGAAAGTTGGCAGTAGAGATATGGGATCCAGAAACTAGGGTTCAATACAGAGAAGCAAAGGGAAATCCCAGGAAAAAGGTGAAGGAAGATCCCAGGACAAGAGCTGTGAACAGACATAAAGAGCAACCAGCTCATGCTGGACGACATAGACAGTACCCAGGAGAGGAGAATCATACTTCTACCGGATAATCCGGGCATGAACAAGAGATAAGGATACAAAAAGCCATGCTAATAAAAACAGTAACAAAAATTATTAATGCCAGGGAAGACAAAAAAGTTATACAAGATAGAATATGTTACCACAGGCAGGATGCAATGGCCCATTCCTGTAATCATAGTACTCTGGGAGGCCAAAGTGAGAAGATCACTTGAGGCCGGGAGTTTGAGACCAGCCTGGGCAATGTAGTGAGACCCCCACCTCTACAAAATATTTAGAAATTAGCCAAGCCTGGTGGCACACACCTGTGGTCCTAGCTACTCAGGAGGTAGAAGTGGGAAGGTTGCTTGAGCCCAAAAAGTTAAGGCTGCAGTGAGCTGTGATCCTGCTATGGCAGGGTGACAGAGAGAGACCCTATCTCAAAAAATAAATAAATAAATAAAAAGAGTAAAGAAAATATTAGTATATCATACTCCCTATTCAGTTGAGAATAATACTAACATAATTTTATTAATATAAATCTTGATATTAGCCTAACCAAAAATTATGAGCAAACTATATTGGGAGGATAAAGTGAGTAAGAGGAGGAGTAGGGGGAGGTTGATGATACAAGAGACCTAGAGCCTCAAAGTCCATAATAAAGAAGTACAATTGGACAGGTGTGGTGGCTCACAACTGTAATCCCAATATTTTGGGAGGCTGAGGCAGGAGGATCACTTGAACCCAGGAGGCAGAGGTTGCAGTGAACCAAGATCGTGCCACTGCACTCCAGCCTGGGCGACAGAGCAAGACACAGTCTCAAAAAAAAAAAAAAAAAAAAGAAAAGAAAAGAAAAGAAAAAATAAATATAGTGATGGCCAGGATCAGTGAGTGGCTCACACCTGTAATCCCAGCACTTTGGGAAGCTGAGGTGGGCGGATTGCTTTAGGCCAGGAGTTCTAGACCAGCCTGGGTAACATGGTGAAACCCTGTCTCTACTAAAAATACAAAAAGTAGGCTGGGCACAGCGGCTCAAGTCTGTAATCCCAGCACTTTGGAAGGCTGAGGCAGGAGGATCACCTGAGGTCAGGAGTTTGAGACCAGCCTGGCCAACGTGGCGAAACCACGTCTCTCCTAAAAATACAAAAAATTAGCCAGGCATGGTGGCAGGCACCTGTAATCTCAGCTACTCAGAAGGCCGAGGCAGGAGAATCACTTGAACCCGCGAGGCAGAGGTTGTGGTGAGGCGAGGTCGCACCACTGCACTCCAGTCTGGGCAACAGAGCGAAACTCCATCTCAAAAAAAAAAAGTGGGTCGGGAGAGGAAACTATTATTTAGTGTTACAAGCTCTACTGAACTATTTGACTGTTTAAACCATGTACATGTACAATTTTGACAAAAATTAAATTAAAAAATCCATGTATTATGAAGATATTATGGTATTGTTCAAGATAATGAATGGAGAAAGTAGCTTAATAGATAAGGAAAATGTTGAAAAGTTATTTTTAGTGCAAGCACTTTCTACTACCTAAGAACTTCTTTAAAGATGTTCAATAACAGAAATGATAACAAAATAAGGAATCTTAGAGGCATGAAGAGCCAACCTACAAATGGTAAACAGTGGCTACTTACTCTTTTCACTATGCAACATTTACAGTAACTCTATAGAAACTGTATCTACATACACAGGTCTGAAACAGAGGACTTCAGAAGTTGGTCTTGAGTACTGTGGAGAAGGAAAGAAAAACAAGGAAGATACAGAAGCAGCAGAGAAGAACAGTAGGGAGAAAAGACACTGCAAAGAAGCAGCAGTCAGGATGACCAGATAGCGAAAACATACCTGAGAAGGTTAGTTCCTCCTTACTCAAAGACTCTCAGAAAATCCATAGGAAAGCTGGAAAGAGAACACTATGAGATGCTCAGTCAATTAACTTCTGACTCTTTTTTTTTTTTTTTTTTTTGAGACAGAGTCTTGCTCTGTTGCCCAGGCTGGAGTGCAGTGGCGTGATCTCAGCTCACTGCAACCTCTGCATCCCGGGTTTAAGTAATTCTCCTGCCTCAGCCTCCCAAGTAGCTGAGACTAAAGGCTCACGCCAACATGCCCACCTAATTTTTTTGTATTTTTTGGTAGAGACGGGGTTTTGCCATGTTGGTCAGGCTGGTCTCAAACTCCTGGCCTCAAGTGATCCACCTGCCTTGGCCTCCCAAAGTACTGAGTACAGGCAGGAGCCACCACGCCCGGCCTGACTCTTTCAATAAAGGTCAAAGATACCTGATATGATTTCACAAAACTCCTTTCCTAGTTTAAGTGCCCCAAGTATACCTTTCTCCCCTTTAGGGGTCCTAACGAAACAGAGTAGAGCCTCAGACACTCCTGGACCCTGTCAGTTCCAAAAGGCAATGCCCAAACCTCCCTGAATGATGTGATTTCACAGGACTGAAGAATCTTACCTTTCTCCCTTCCACATACCGGTCTGAGCAGAGCCGAATAGCTTCATTTTAAACTAGAGTCTAGAAGTTAGAGGAGGGGGGCCAGGCAGAGGAAGGAGCGATGCTAACTGTAGACTGAGTATAAGACACCTTAAACACATACAATTTACCACTTACCAGATCTGATCCCTCAATTCTAACACTTTTCCTTTCTATGTCCCAATAAAATTGCCACAAATAAATGAACACTCCAACCCTATTCTTGTCTCAGCAAATAATTTGTTGAGCAACCTTAAGAATTAAAAAGGCAAAAAAACTGGCTAGACAGGTGGCTCATGACCATAATCCCAGCACTTTGGAAGGCCGAGCAGGCAGATCACGTGAGGCCAGGAGTTCAAGACCAGTCTGGGCTACATGGCGAGACCCTGTCTCTACCAAAAAAAAAGGGCAAAAAAACCGAACTTTCTCTAGGTGCTGAGGTATTCTGCTGAGAATCTACAAAACTTCAAAGCCCCTAGTGAGGGCTTAGAGACTGGCAGTAAGGACCTTAGCTGTTAATGTGGATGTTAACTGGGCTAGACTCTTCTGTGTTTCTGTTTCCACACGGGAGCAGGGCCTCAGAGAGGAGTCTACCAGTACTGCGAAGGTGAAGCACTAGTGCAAAGGTGTTTAGGTCAAGTTCAGTGTCACTCGCAGGTCTAAGCCAAACTAAAATTATTCAGTCTAGCAATCCATCCCTTCCTTTTTGTTCTAGACTCCATGCTGATAGGAGAAAAACAGCACATCACAAACATTTGTGAAACTTTTTCAGCTACACAGCCCTTCCGCTTCTCTTTTAAGACTCTGCTATTCCTCTATCAGAATGGCAAGAAGGATGTGGGTAGATATAGTATGACTAAGCCCTGTAGATGATTCTGTTAGAGCTACTGCTTTTAAAGGGTTTCATAAAACCCTGTCTTTAGAAAACCTCTCCATATAACAACAGGCAGTAGGCACTCATGTCCTCTCAGCCCATCTAAATGGGGCTTCTAGAGGAATTACAAAATCCAGGCAGGTAAAGAGAAGTAGCTGCATGCACACAGTCGTCATAAGAGAAAATTCCCAAATAAATGGTCCAAGTACCTATAACTGTTAGCTCAATAAACACTTGGTTTTATCTGCTTTTACAATTTGCAAGGCTGTATAGAGGCTGTATAGTACATACTTCAGACAAATAAAGAAGGAGTTTCAGAATTCTTTTGTTTTTTTTTTCAGACAGGGTCTCGCTCTGTTGTTCAGTCTGGAGGGCAGTGGTGCAATCTCCGCTCACTGCATCCTCGACCACTGCCCCCCACCTCTCACCCCGGCAACCTCCCGGGCGAGGATCGCTCAAGGATCTCAAACGATCCTCCCACCTCAGCCTCCTAAGTAGCTTGGACTACAAGCCCACCACCACGCCTGGCTACATTTTGTTTTTTTGTGTGTTTTTTTTGTTTTTTGTTTTTTTCGTAGAGACAGAGTTTCCCTATGTTGCCCCCAGGTTGGTCTCGAACTCCTGGGCTCAAGTAATCCTTCCACTTCGGCCTCCCAAAGTGCTGGGATTACAGGCATGAGCCACCGCACCTGACCTTAGAATTATTTTATATCAAAGTTGACTTATTCACATGATGAATGGCAAGGCCTTATTAGGGACTAAAAAAATAAACCAATGGATGGGGAAGAAAATCATACTGACTAATAAACATTAGACCTGCATAACTGCCAAAGGCCTCACTTTTTAAGTTATGTTATGCAGCACAGAGTCTTCAGATTTTATTTACTTATTTATTTATTTATTTATTCATTTATTTGAGACGGACTCTCGCTCTCTCGCCCAGGCTGGAGTGCAGTGGCGCGATCTCGGCTCACTGCACACTCCGCCTCCCGGGGTTCACGCCACGCTCCTGCCTCAGCCTCCAGAGTAGCTGGGACTACAGGCGCCCGCCACCACGCCCAGCTATTTTTTTGTATTTTTAGTAGAGACGGGGTTTCACCATATTAGCCAAGATGGTCTCGATCTCCTGACCTCGTGATCCGCCCGCCTTGACCTCCCAAAGTGCTGGGATTACAGGCGTGAGCCACTGTGTCCGGCCCAGATTTTATTTTAGTCTACCAGGTAGTAGCAAACTATCCAAGGACTTGCCCAGGACCATTCAGGTCAGTGAGCTACAGAATCTAGTTCTGGAAAGGCAGCCATTCTTACTATTCACAAAGTGTAGAAAACGTGAATTCAGATTCCAGCAGCAACAAATGACTGGAGCACAAAACGCCAGCCACAGTTGGTGCTAACGCAGCTGGCTATCAGCTCCACAGGATGAAGCACTGTCCAAGGGTCTGATCAGTGAAGCATCACCCAAGACTGATGAACACAGCTGATATGAGGGGACCCAAAGTTCCCTGAGTCAAGACAGAAGAGCTGTGTCACGGTTTGCACAGAAAGAGAAAGAGCAACTATTCTTACCCACGGAAAGAAAAAGGGAGAAGGCCATCAATACTACCCTTAGGCTTGTGCAACGAGAAACTGCTAAAAATGGGGGGAAGGTATATATCCTATCATACTGATGTTTACCGAAGACTCCGCATCCCAAATGCTAAGCAACATACTGTAGGGCCTTGCTACTCAGTGTGTGGTCTGCGTGCCAGAGGCTTCAGCCTCGTCTGGAATCTAGTTAGGAACACAGTTATCTCAGAACCCACCCCAGTCCTACAGAATCAGAATCTCTAAGCGATTCGCAGGCACATCAAAGTGTGATGAGAGGCGCGGCAGAATATCTGACTACATTCTCTTAACAGCACCGTGAGACAAGTACTGTTACGATCTCCATTTCACAGAGGAAAAAAAATCAAGGGTCAGATAAGCCCCCTGCCAAAGATCACAAACTCAGGAGCGGCGAGAGTCACTGAAGTTCTCACCACAGCCAGGCCTGCGAGAGGCACTGGCAACCCAGGCCAAGAGCTGAACAAGGCCTCGATGCGCTCCAGCTCTGGGCCGGCCGGGAGGACAGGAGGCACAGGCCAAGGCCCAGGACGGTCGTGAACGCGGAAAGAGGCCGCCGCGACCTCCTCCCCGGCCGCCGCCACTCACCTGATCCTCCCGAAGGTGGGCGCCGCAACACCAAACCGGGGACGCCGCGGGCGGCGGCGACACAGATACTGGCTCCTCCGGCGACTCCGAGCCTCACAGCCCCACTTCCGGCCAACTGCCCGCTACTTCCGCCTGCTGCGCGAGTGACGGATGCGGCCGAGGCTCAAAAGACTCTGTCAGCGTTTCCCAAGGACATTTTCCACTGGAGGACGTTGTTGAGGAGGCAGGGGGAGTCTAGGACCTGCAGAGGGAAAACACCTTCCTGGATGGATCGCTCTGGAAGTCATTAAGCAGCTTAGTCCCGGCGCGGTGGCTCACGCCTGTAATCCCAGTACTTTGGGAGGCCAAGGCGGGCGGATCACCTGAGTTCAGGAGTTCGAGACCAGCCTGGCTAACGTGGTGAAACCCCCGTCTCTACTAAAAATACAAAAATTAGCCGGGCGTGGTGGCGCACGCCTATAATCCAGCTATTCAGGAAGCGGAAGCAGGAGAGTCGCTTGAACCCGGGAGGCGGAGGTTGCAGTGAGCCGATATCTCGCCACTGTACTCCAGTCTGGGCACCCCTGTACTCCAGCTCTGGGACACAGAGCGAGACTCCATCTAAAAAAAAAAAAAAAAAAAAAAAAGTAAGTAGCTTAGACACATGTTCAAATCTGAGGACCACCACTCAGGGTTTTATGGCCTTGGAGAAGTCACATAAATTCATTCTTGTTATATTATTATTATTATTTTCATAGAGACGGGGATGGCAGTGTCTTCCTATGTTGCCCAGGCTAGTCTCGAACTCCTGGGCTCATGCAATACTGCCGCCTCAGCCTCCGAAAGTACTGGGATTACAGGTATGAGCCATCGCACCCGGCCCACATAAATTCTCTAAGCCTGTACAGTGAGAAAAACAATACATTTTTTTTTTTTTTGAGACAAAGTCTTGCCCCATTGCCCAGGCTGGGGTGCAATGGTGCAATCATGGCTCACTGCAGCCTCAACCTCCTGGGTTCAAGTGATCCTCCTGCCTCAGCCTCCTGAGTAGCTAAGACCACAGGCATGCACCACCACACCTGTCTAATTTTAACAATGCATTGGTCGGGTGTGGTGGCTCACACCTGTAATCCCCGGTGTTGGAGACCGGCCTGGCCAACATGGTGAAACCTCGTCTCTACTAAAAATACAAAAAAAAATTAGCGGGGCATGGTGGCGTGCACCTGTAACCCCAGCTACTTGGGAGGCTAAGGCAGGAGAATCACTTGAACGCAGGAGGTAGAGGTTGCAGTGAGCCGAGATTGCACCACTGCACTCCAGCCGGGGCAACAGTGAGACTCCATCTTTTTTTTTTTTTAATGCATTTATAATAGAGATGTATCTGTAAAGTGCTCTCAGGAAAAGAGCTAGTGACATGATGGATAGATGAGCCTGCTGAGAGAAATGGATGTGGAGCTGGGGCTTAGCGAGGCCAGAGCTATGGAGCATGAGCCAGGGTGATTCTCCACCACCCTAAGAAGGAGGGCTGGGTCCTACTGGGTACATATATTGACACAGCTGTCAGTATAGGTACCTAGACAAGAAAGAGACTCTACTAAACCTCTACCTATCAGAAAGTCCTGGCCCCAGGCTGCCATTCCTGAGGGCACTTGAGATCTGCTGATCAGGGTCTTCATATCTTGTCAATGCCTTGGCTCTAAGGGGTGTGAAGGAGAGCTGAGAAATCATGCTCCCTCCAGGGCCTATCTTGTAGGGAAGACAAAATCAATGTAGGAAGAACACGTCCCTGCCAGGAGGGGCAAGCCTGACATCCCAACTCCTGAGCTCTGGAGACAGCGCTGTTTGAATATCTGGAGCCCCAGACCACAGACACCACTGCTTAGGGAGGGTTCTCTCCCTCAGGCCAGACCAGGGCAAACACTATTCATTGTTATGACTCTGTCCTTGCCAGTAGAACCCAGAGAAAGCAGAGAGCCTGCCCCCAAGGAATGAACCATGTTTGTTCCTAGGCAGCCATGACAATCCTGTTTCTCTTTGTAATACTCAAATTCCCATTCTCCCTTGAAGTGGGAGGAGCATGTGGCTCAGTTCTGGCCAACAGGACTTAAAGGGAAGGGTCCTGGGAGGGCTCTGGGAAAGCTTTTACTTTTCATGATAAAGTAGGGCCGCCTCAATGTCTTCATGGAGCTGTGGCAGCCACTTTGTGGTAAGGAGGGAACAACATGCCAAGGATGGAACAGTGGGAGGATGAAAATCTAGGTCCCCGAGGATCCAACAACCATGACACCACCTCCGGATTTCTTGTCAGGTTGGGGAAAAATAAACCACTCTTTGAGGTCCTTTGATTACTTACAGCAGAGTGCATTCTTGATTGTGTGCTTTGAGAGGATGACAGAGGAACTGTTGTAAAGGGAAGCTCTCTGCTGTGCAGCACGCTTGGGTCCCTTTTGCCTTTGGGGCTTCGCCATTAATTGCAAACCTGTTCCCAGTCTTCACTTCTATCCATTCAGCCCGCAAACATCTACCAGTTGCTGTAAGGTGGCTTAGGCGACTGCAGGCTGCATCTAGCTGTCCTGCGTCACCTGTTTTCTGGCTAGCAGCTTAGTGTCCAGATTCTGAGCTGGAGCCAGCTTTTAACCCCTTTGGCAACAGTCTGAGCTGAAGAGAAAGCCCCACTGGGCATATACATGGCACCACGACTCTTCCCGGGCAACGTGGCAGAACTTGGGCTTTGGGCCAACCTCCTAGCACGGCCCAGTGAGCACCTCCAGTCTCATGCCTCCTCTGGGAAATCTGTTTACTCCAGCTTTGCCCCCATCCCCCACCCGGGCCTCACCTCCCGCACCTGCAAAGACACAAGCAGGCCAAAGAATACCACTCAAGAGGCTTTTTCCGTTTTATTTCTTTGGGAAAGGAAAACAAAAAGTCTTTCCATCACATATGGTAGAGATATATATTTATATATATTTATATATAATTTCTTTTGTGGTTGGACGTCCCAAAGCTGAGTCTGTTCATATTTTTTTCTATTTTTTTCTTACTAATGCCTTCTCTTCTCCCTGCCCCTGTGGCCTAGGCCCAGGTTCTAGGGCAGGTACAGTGAGGGGTGAATGGAATGGGCAGTGGTCGCCAGGATGGCCTCCCACCCAGCTCAGAGACCTGGTGAGGACCACCCAGAAGGGCTGTGCAGAGGGTTAGAGGCCACACAGAGGGGCACTCATGTTTTTGTGGGGGATGCACAGCTCATTAAACAGTCACCAGTCATGGGAGGAGGCTGGTCAGGGGCTAGGGGACTTGCTCACAGTAGTTGCCAGCTCTCTCCACCTTGCCCCCCAAAACTCAGTCTTGGGGGTGGGAGGAAGAGAGTGAAAAAGAGAGAGATATAAGGGCTGAGGGCCAAGCCTCCTCCAATTTTTATTGCTGGTGAATTAGAAATTTGCTTTTCCCTTCCTGTCTTGGGGAGATAGACTCTGAGAGGGCCCCAAGAGAAGCAGCTGACATTGGCTGACCTAACCCCTCATGCCAGGCCTACCCTGGGCAGGTGCTGAGCCACCTCAGGGCGCCAGGAACCTCTCAGGTCAGCCTTGTTCTTCAAGGGCAATCACATCCAACTCTCCCCCCGCCCCCAAAACAAGGGCCTCCGGCTCAGACTTGGGCCAGTGGAGCTGGGAAGTGGGCAGTGCACCAAAGGTCAAGCGGAATTTTCTATTGGAAGAAAAGGTGAGACTTTGGGGAAGAGACTGCCTAGGAAGATGATGTGCTGAGCATGAAAGCAGAAAGAGGCTGGGGGAATAGAGTGCGGGAAGACATCGCAGACACTCGTCTGACCTCAGAAACTGGGCGAGGAGAGTGCCTGAGAGGCAGGTAGCACTTAATAGCTGTGTTAGAGCCGGACAGTGGTCCTGGGTGTGGGGTCAGCCAAGCAGATGGGGCTGTTGCCCTGCGGGATCCTGGCCAGAAGGGTGAGGGTAGAGCCGAGAAGCCGTCAGGCAACGCTTCCCAAGAACAGGAGGACAGATCTTCCCTGGGTGCTGGACTTCCAGCCCCAGTCCTCCCCTCCCGCAACACACACACAGGGACACACACTCACAACCAGGCCAGGCTCTGAGGCCTGAGTCCAAGAGATCTTGTTGGGGGAGGGGCTGGGCAGGTAGCCCTCTCAGCCAAAGGCAGGCCATCTGCTCCCACTTGTCCTGCCAATCTGCCCAGGGAGGGAGAGCACTGTAGGAGGGAGAGAGGTCTGGAGCCCAGGCTCTGTCAGTTTCAGCAAACCTGGTGCAGGCCCCCTCAGGCTCCATGGCCTAGGAGGTGAGCACAGAGAGCATCACTAGACACAGGGTGGCCAACAGTAGCAGCCCAGGCCTCCAGAAGGACTGGGGCACCTTATGGCACTGCACGTCTGCTGCCTCCATCTCCAACAAGGGGGTGCCGAGAAAGGGAGCATGACTCCCCCACCACCTAGGATTGCCCCCACTCACCCTGCCCTCCTCCTATTCCCTCCTTTTAGGGGGGTCCAAGTGGGCTGCCACGGGGGCAGTGCTGGAGCTAGGAGGGCAGGTGGGGAGGGAGGAACCTGGTCACAGCTGCTTAGAGAACCTCTTTGGTCTGGGGTTATGGGGTCTATGGGGAAGAGAGATGGAGGGGAGGGGACACTGGGGACTCTGGCCTTTTGACAGGACATGTGTCAAAATGCCGAGTGCCCAGGTCGATCAGATTTCTGTGGACTCAATGCGCTCGAGGCGGGAGGGGGTCCAGGCCTTCTTCTCCTCGCCATGCTGGGGAGTGGGCGTGCTTGCACCCCCTGCGGCCCCGCGCTCCCGCAGCCTGCGCTCCAGCTGCTGGTTGCGCTGGTACATCTCCACGTAGCTCAGCTGCAGCTGCTTCTGGTACTCGATCACCTTCTCCTTCTCCTCCAGCCACACGCGGCGCTCCTCGGCGAAGCTGGCACCCTGGCGCTCCCGGGCCCGCCGCTCAGCCGCCAGCTCGGCCTGCAGCCGCCCCACCTCCCGCCGCAGGGCCCGCGTCCCGCTCTCCCCGCCAGCCTCCGCCTCCCCGTCCACGGAAACCAAGGAGGCGGCAGCGGCCACCCCGGCCTGACGGCGCATCTTAGCCTCGTCGCTCTCGCAGGTGGCCAGAGCATCCTGTGGCTCGGCCGGGTCCACGGGGGTCAGCGCCGGCTTGAGGCAGGCGGCAGGCAGCTCGCCTTCGCCCAGCTCCAGGCTGGCCTGCTTGCTGCTGAAGGAGTCCCGCAGGCTGAGCAGCTGCTCCTCCTTCTCCCGCAGCGAAGCCCGGCCCTCCCGCAGCTGCGAGCGCAGTCCCACGATCTCACTCAACTTCTGCGACACATCCGCCTGCGAGTCCTTCAGCTGCTGCTTCAGGAGGGAGATCTCGCCAGCCTTCTGGCACACCTGGGCAGGAACAGGTGAGAGGAGAAGCCAGGTAAAGGCAGAGCTCTGCTCACCCCAACCCAGCTACCAGATCTGGAGCCAGGGGCACCAAGCTTCCCGGGGCTGCAGGCTCAGCCCCTCATCAGCAGCGACGCACCCGATTCCCTGCCTGGACTCAAGATGGACATGTCTCACCCAGCGGATGGCCTCGGGTCCTCACAGACACTCCCAATTGATTTTTGTCCCCCCTGCTCCTTTCATCCCCCCCCCCATCCCACCGTTATGATAGTGAGGGGCAACTGCTCTGGGGTTTCCCAGAGGGACAGAAGGGAGGCAGAGGGGAGGCCCAGATCCCCAGCCCGCACCTCCCACTTAGTTTCCTCTATCCGGGGCAGGAAGTCGGCCTGCTCCTTCTGGCAGGCGGCCACCTTGTCCTCCAGCTCTTCCCGCTGCCGCATCAGCCGGGCCGCCTCCTCCTGCAGCTGCTTCTTGTCCTGCTGCAGCCGCAACACCTGCAGCTGTAGGCCCTGCTGGGCGCGCTGGGCACGTCGGGCCACCTGCTGTAGCTTCCCGCTGCAGCCCTGCCGCAGCTCGGCCAGCTCCCGCTCCCACGCCTTCTGCCGCTCCTCCAGTACCTGGGCCACAGCCGCCTCGCTCTGCTCCAGGCTGCGCCGCAGAGCTGCCACCTCCTGCTCCTTCTCCCACAGCCGCTCCTCCAGCTCCTGGATGAGTGCACTGGGGGAGGGCGGTGAGCAGGCCGCGAAAGGCAGGCCTCCACCTCCGCCCTCCCCAGAGCCCAGGTGGCCTGGCCGCCCCATAGATGACGACGACCCACTCTTGCTGGAGGCCCGTCCACTATCGGAGGTCCCCAGGTCCTGGTAGCCCGACCCCCCACCGCTGCTGCCGCCACTACCACTACCATAGCTGGCAGTGCCAATGCGGTTAATGTGGCTGGTGGAGGCACTGAGGGGTGCCAGGTGCTGGCTGTAGCTGGAGCTGTAGGTGGGCAGGCTTGTGAGGGAGTTCCGGCCTGAGTCTGAGAGGCCACTCCCACTCCCACCCGCTGGAGTCATGGTCCGAGACTTGTCCAGTCCGCCTTTGAGGCCACCAGGGCCCTGCCGTCCCTCAGGAGTCCCATTGGTCTGCGGGGGGCACAAATTCTGCATGGAGTGGAAATTCTTGGGTACGACAGGCTTGAAGGCCGACGGCCGAACTAGTGGTTCTGAGCACTGCAGGAAACGCAGGAGGGGGCTGGGGGTCAGGATGAGGCCTTGGGCTTGGCCCAGGCTCTTCCCTCTGGCCAAGACTTGTCCAGCCCCACCTCCCACCCCTACTGGATTTCCACCCTGAGGTTCCCCATCCGGGGTTCTACCTCATGGCTCCCTGATACCAGATCTCTGTCCTTGATCTACCCGCTAGACTTGGCCCCAGGTCCCCAGTCCATGACTCCCCAGCCCAGCCTCCATCCTGCCCCCACAACCCAACCTCCAAGAAGGCCCACTTTGCCTTCCTCTCTGGGTTGCCTCCCACCCCCAGAAAAAGGCTGTGAGGGTCTCAGGCCCTGCGGACTGACCTGGTCTAGCTTGCCAGAGGTGGCCAGGAGCTTGGGTGGGTGGCTGGGCTCACGATACTGCGGTGGGGCTTTGTCACTGCCACCACTGCTGCTGCTGCCTCCGCTGCTGCCAACCACGTTGCCACAGACATCGGTGTGGTCACTGCCCCGCAGCTCACCATTGAGGTAGAGGGAGTTGGCGAGACCCTTGTCCTCTGAGGGGTAGCGGCCCGGCCTCTCCCTGCTGGCCCCACTGCCACTGCCTCGGGGGCCAGGGAAACTGCCCTGGCTGCCCCCACCCCCTGTGCGGGTACCCACGCTCTTCATGGCAAACTCCTGGGCATGGGCCACCCCACTGCCCACGCTGCCCATGGCCAGGCGGGGGTCCGGGGGTCCAAGCTCGGAGGGCCGTGGGGCAAAGGCCAGGAGAGGATCCCGCCCTGGGTCAGCGCGCACAGGCAGCGTCTCCAGCTTCGCCATGACTAAGCCAGGGGGGCACTGTGGGCACAGGTGGGAAGGCAGAGATAGGTAAGACCCTACTCCTATTCCCACCACCCCAGCCAAGTCAACCCGGCACCGCTCTGCCCCTCAGTGTCCCCTTCCCTACAATGGGTACAAAAAGTTCCCAGGCATCCAAGGTGAAGGAATAAGGCTGGGATAAAAGAGAGAACTTGGGAATGGGGGCTGCCTGTTGCCCACCTGATAAAGCCCAACCCCCAGGGCTCCATGCACATAGCCCCCAGCGTTGCTCAGCTCAGCTCAGCTCAGCTCAGCTCAGCGTTCCATTCCTAAACTTCTGCCTTAGCCCCACCTCCGCCATGAGCTTCCCAGGCTCAGTGACCCTCTCAACTCTTTGCTGCAACCCCAGAATTTTGGGGTTCTTTATCTTGGGTCTGGGACCCTAATATCCCAACCTCATGGGCTGGGGAAATGGGGTTGGAAGGGGAGAGCAGTACCTGAATCCAACAGGGAACCAACCTCAGAAATTAGGGGAGGGAGAGAAATACACCCCTATCCAAAAATTGAGGGTGGGGGTCCTTCCCAGCCCCCTAACCTAAGTGTTGCAGTCAGGGCAGAAGTGGAAGCTCACTACCAGCGCAGGCTTCTCTCCTTGCCTTTCCAAGGGGTTGAGGGGCCGACGGGTCCTCAAGCCTGGGACCCTCCGAGGCCCGGTCTGCAGGGGCCATGTGCCTCACTCTCGCAGTCGGGGCTCGGCCCGAACCAGCTGCGCGACTTTGGAGGGGCCGACTGAGCCATCCCGGACTGCAGTTTTCTCCTCTGCGAAATGGGAGGAATGAAGGACCTACCTTGCGGGGCTGCCGCGTGCCAGGCGCCCCGAGGCGGCGAGCGCCTGAGGAAACGGGGGTCTGGGGGAGGGTGGGTAGGCGACGCACATCTGGGTCGCGGGTGGGCGCCGCCAAGGGCACAGCCTGTCCCTCCCGGATGGACGGGGGCCGCGGCTGCAGTAGGTGGCAGGCCTGCCCTCCCCAAGGTCTTCCCAGCTCGGCCGCACCGGGGCCCTGGGAAGACAGGGCCCCCTTCCCGGGATCAGTCCTCCGCAGAGGTCCCAGGGCTGGCTGAGGCCGGGGCAGGGGACGCAGTGGCGCCAGCTGCTGGCACTGACGGAGCCTCTCTCAGGGCCTGCGTTTCCCACAGGTGGGAGGGGGGAGGGGAGGGGAGGGGCCGCTGCAGGGTGCGCGGCCCCAAGGATCCTGCGCCTGCCGAACCCCGCAAAGAATTCACTGCCACCAGGAAGACTTCCCGGATTACTACCCTCTCCCGCTCCCTGTGGACCTTGACCCTGCTCAGCTTACCGTGAAGCCCTCTGAGTCCTTCTGTGGGTGCGCGTCCCCCTCCCCCAAGGCCGGCCCACAAGCGCAGGGGGAGCCAGGCCTCGGGTTACCTGTGCTCAGGGAGGCCGTGCTTCCTCGTTCCTTTGTCTCAAGTTCGCACCTGGGAACACCTGCCCCAGAGATCTGCATAATGCAGCCGGGCAGGAGCACCAGGCAGTGTCTGCCTCGGGTTAGACCCTCAAATAAGTGTGTGGGAAATGGGAGAGGGCGCCCTTCAGGCCTTTTCCCACTACACCCTGCATAAACCAGGCAGGGAGCCCTCCTTCCCTATCAAGTTAAGGGGCCCACGTGGCACCCTATGGCCCCACAGACCGTCTTCTACCCAGATGCCCAGTTCTAATGCTGAGTCCCTGGCCCAGACCAAGGGCACCTGACAAAACTGTTGTCCTTCGGGAGTCTTCTGGCCCCCACACCAGGAATGAGAGCTCTAGGTTGTTGGAAAGTTCACTACCAAGCCTGTCCACTGTCTCTGTAGAATTCCATTCTCAGCATCTGTCCCCACAGGTGTGGAGAAGAGCACTTCGCCACCCTCCTCCCTTGGACCCGTCTGTCCCCATAAGCAAGGGCCAGGACTAGGATGAGGACAGAGAGCCACGTAGGGCACAAATGAAGGGCACAAACAGCAAGTACACAGCCCTGAGGGTGACAGCCTCCTTCCCTTTGTGCCTTGGGTCCCTCTCTGGCCTCACTCTAGTCCCTGCTCTGCCTCTACTCCCCAGCATACTCCAGCCCCCTATGCCTCAGCCCTGCAACCCCCTCCTACCTTAAGTATGGACCCTTCTCTTGCCACCTCTGGGTGCAATGTGGGGAGCAGCTGGGGACTGGGAGGATGAAGCCTGAAAGGCCTGAGGCTTGGAACCAGTAGGAAGGCCTGGGCAGGGTTTGGGAAAGAACTGGCAAAATTTCATACAGATGAGGTCAGGTGGTGGGGACAAGGGATAATGCTGGACTGGGCACCAGCGTGCGTGTGACACTGTTAACATGATAGGGGGAGACTGCTTGGGGAAAATAGTTGCTTTGGGAAACACCAGAGGAAGATACCTCTCAAGCACTAAATGGAGGCCAAGCAAGGTGGCTCATGCCTGTAATCCCAGCACTTTGGGAGGTCAAGGTGGGCAGATTACTTGAGGCCAAGAGTTCAAGACCATCCTGGCCAAATTGGTGGAACCCCATCTCTACTAAAAATACAAAAATTAGCTGGGTGCGGTATGCATTCCTGTAATCCCAGCTACTTGGGAGGCTGAGGCACGAGAACCCCCTTGAACCCAGGAGGCAGAGGTTGCAGTGAGCTGTAATTGCACCACTGCACTCCAGCCTGGGTGACAGAGCGAGACTCTTTCCTTAAAAAAAAAAAAAAAAAAAAAAAAAGCACTAGATGGAGAGAGATTGAGATCATCAGTTTTCAAGGGTGCTGGGGGTGTAGGCCAGCACTGAGCCAGGGAGCAAAGCCCCAGAAGTCTGGAAGGCACTCTGGGAGCAGGAAGAAGGCCAGGAGAAGGTGGGCCCTGAAGGCCAAGATTGGGGGGATTCAAGAATGTGGGGACAGTTTCCAGTGTTAAAAATAACAGGGCCAGGTAACACTGGGGTTGGAGAGTGTGCTGCGGATTTAGGAGCTGGTCTCGAGACATCACCAATGTCTATGTCAGAATGGTTTCAGAAAAGTGGTACAAGTGCCGGATGCGGTGGCTCACACCTGTAATGCCAGCACTTTGGGAGGCCAAGGCAGGCAAATCACTTGAGGTCAGGAGTTCGAGACCAGCCTGGCCAACGTGGTGAAACCCCGTCTCTACTAAAAATACAAAAAATTAGCTGGGCGTGGTGGTGCGCGCCTGTAATCCCCTACTCAGGAGGCTGAGGTGGGAGAATCACTGGAACCCGGGAGGCAGAAGTTGCAGTAAGCCGAGATCATGCCACTGCACTCCAGCCTGGAAGACAGAGCGAGACTACATCAAAAAAAAAAAAAAAAAAAACAGGTTGGCGCGGTGGCTTACGCTTGTAATCCTAGCACTTAGGGAGGTCCAAGACAGGTGGATCCCCTAAGATCAGGAGTTCGAGACCAGCCTGACCAACAGGGCGAAACCCTGCCTCTACTAAAAATACAAAAAAATTAGCTGGGTGTGGTGGTGCATGCCTGTAATCCCAGCTACTCAGGAGGCTGAGGCGGGAGAATGGCTTGAACCCAGGAGGTGGAGGTTGCAGTGAGCCAAGATCGCACCACTGCACTCCAGCATAGGTGACAGAGCAAGACTCCCTCTCAAACAAATAAACAAAACAGAACAAAAAAAGTGGTACAAAACAAAGGCAGTCCACAAGGCTAGAGGAGTGCAGAGAAAGACATGGCAGAGTTCCTGCTAAAAGAGAAGACAGTTATTTAAGGAGGTTTGAGATTCAAGGGCTTTTTTAATTTTAAAATTAACCATGGTAGAAACCTGTGTGTTAATATGCTGAGGGAAGTTGCCAATAGTGAGATGAAAGATCTAGGCAAGGGGATAGCAAGGTGACTGCACCAGATACCTGGATCTGGGCAGGAATAAACCTCAACAGTGATCATGTTGACCTTGAGTGACAGGGTATAATGTTTGGGAAGGTGCTTTGTAAACTATAAGGGGCAATACAAACATGTAGTACACCTTCTCTGAGATCCGGGAAAGGACAACCTGAGCATAGGTTGGGGCTGGTCATAGGCCACTCTCCCCTACTGTTTCTCTAGAGTGTGTGTAGTCCCTAGCAAGTCTCAGATGCCTCGAGTCGTGGATGGAAACAAGGTCCCAGGACCATTGTCCTGAGCCTCCTTTCTCCGTGCTCTACCTGGGGAATGCTTGACTATCAACCCACAGAAGCTCTCTCTGGAGCCTCACTGCCTAAAGAGCTTCTTGTCGTAATTGTAACCTGTCATGGTTAACCCCTTGCAAGCATGCCCTGCCCCTTGTCTCTCCCAAGCTTTGGCTGCTGCAGCTTCTTTCCACAAAATCCCAGCAGATAGCCGGGCGTCGTGGTGCGTGTCTGTAATCCCAGCTACTCGGGAGGCTGAGGCATGAGAATCGCTTGAACCCAGGAGGTGGAGGTTGCAGTGATATTGCGCCACTGCACTCCAGCAGCCTGGGCAACGGAGTGAGATACCCCCTCAAAAAAAAAAAAAAAAAAATCCCAGCAGGACACCGGCAGGACAAGGAAGGGGATGTTTCCCTGGTAAGCAGGAACTGAACTGAGAGGAAAGGTCACGGTCCTGAACTAGTCCAGGTAACTGAGCATGGTCTGCAAAGGCAGCCTCCTGGCATCAGTGCACCACCCTGAGATGACAGCCTGTTGCCTGACTGCCTCGATCTCTGTCACCTCAGCCCTCAGTGCCTGGGGCATTATACACAGTATTAGCGTCATGAGGGGGCCAAACGGACTCTACCTGACAGTTACATGTACAGGTACCTCCAACCCACCCCTCAACCTGTGTCTCTCCCAAAGCTAGGAACACTTGGGGTCTCAGAGGCCCCAACCCCAGCCCATTCTATCTCCTAAAAATCTCTAGCCAGCCCCTCCATCCAGCACCCCTGCTGGGGGCTCCTCAATGGACTTTCTTCTCCTGCACTCCCTCCCCCAGGCAGCTGCCAGGGGATTCCTTCTAAAGGGCAAAGCTGATCTTGCCCCTGCTCTGTCCAAATCCTTCCATGAGCAAGACCAAGTGCAGTAGACAGAGTTCTGGCAGCATCAGCTCCAAGTGTAAATCCCAGCTTGACTGATTAGGGGTGCAACCTCATGCAGGTTATTTCACCTCGGGTTCTCACACCTACATTGCAGGCATTTTAAGAAGTAAATGTATGATGGGTGAAATGCCTGGTATTCCTCTTGGTCCCCAGAACCAGAGCAGAGCTTGCAGCAGGGTCCCCAAGGACTCTCCTGATGCCCCTCCTCTATCTACCCTGACCTGAGCCCCTCTCTACTTCACACACAAGCTCTTGCCAGCTCTCTGTGCCCATCCTACATGCTTCTAGACCAGTTCAAAGGCTGGCCTCAGGACAGCATCCCTGATCTCCACCCCCCAGAGGGGGCATCTTGGAGCACTTGGCTGAGGACACCCCAGGGAGATTTCACTCTGAGGCCTCCCCAGGGCTGGCCTATAGGTTTCCCAGGAGCACAGAGGGCAGAGTCCTGGGGGTCTCTGGGCCCTGCACCAAGGAAATGCAGGGCAAATGCCTGTGGGAATGCTAGTTATGGGCAATGCAAAGAGGCAGTGAATCCGGGCAGGGAGAGCAGGAGGGGTTTCCAGGAAGCAGGACTGAGGGAGGAAAGGGATCTGGGGGCACTGCAGGGCTTTTGGGGTGCAGAGATATCCAGAACTTCTTGGTTGGGATGAGTGAGGGGAGATCCGTCTTCCCTCGGTGGCCTAAGCACTGGCAGCGGAATGGGCCCATCACCTAGCTACTGGCTCTGATGAAGCCAGTGTTTCAGGACTGAGGGGGCCGAGAGCGCCCCCTCCACCCCGAGCACACACACGCGCGCACACACGAGCTTCTGCTGGGGGTGGGAGGGGGGGTCGCCATTCACCAGCAGCCCACGGCCCGCAGAGCCAACTGATAGAGACCCCAGCCACAGGCCACAGGACCTGGGAGTCCCTGCGATGGGGGAAACCCCGCCCGCACCTCCCCAGGCTCCCCACCAACGCGTGTGGCCCCGGGGGGCGGGGCGCAGAGGGAAGAGGTGACATAATCCGAGCCGCACCCCCTCTGGCCGCCACCTCCCCCCAGGCCGGGCGAAGCATCCATGACATCATCCGCCTCCTCTCCGCTCCCCTCCCCCTTGGGACCCTAGCAGCGGGACGCGCCCCCTACCCAGTCCGGGTCAGGTCAGACATGCCGCGCAGTGCAGCAGGCACGGCGGCAGGTCGGAGCCGGGAGGGATGCCACGATGGGCCTGCCTCACTTACTCGCTGCCTCAGGGTCCGGCGCGGGGTCTCCGACACGGGCGCCACCGGCCCCGCTTGCTGGCGCAGCCCGAAGCACGCCCGGCGGGGCGCGCTGCGCGGGCCCGGCTCCGCTCCGCGCCCCTCCTGCTCCCCGCCCGAGCCCCGCCCACCAGCGGCTGCGGCAAACGCGAGCCCGCCCTCCGGCCACGCCCCCCAGGGCAGCCAATGCCCGGGCTGGGGCGGGGTGAGGCGCCTTAACCCCTTCGTCGCTGCGCCCCGCCCGCGCGTGGGACCCCTCAGCCTCACCCTCTCTAGGGCGCAGCAAGTCCGCCGCGAGCCCCTCTGCTCATCGCTCGTTACCCCCCAGGCCCTTGGGCTTGGGCTCAGGCCCAGTCGTTCCTCTGCAACAAATCCAATGGAACCGCGCCCTCCCTGAATCCCACGTCTAGGAAGAGGAGGAGGAGCCCCTCTTGCTTGGGGGAAGGGGCTCCCGACTCGGAGCCCCGAGCCCCATTCCTCTCCCGCGCCAGCTCTTCGGGACGCGGCCTCCCAGCGGACGCCCTGAGACCTTGCAAGTCCGCTAGGGAGGGGTCGGGACGAGCCGTCGCGGGTGGATCCGCCCGGCCGAGCAACGACCCGCCCGGGCGCGAGGACCACGGGCTGTCGTGCGGGAGGCGTCGAGGGGCAGTAAACTCCGTTCGTGACCAAACGGAGACGATTTGAAACTTGCTGCTCACACTGGATCACCGTCTGGAAGGTGCGACGGGGAAAAAATACACATTACACTCCAGCAGGATTGAACGCTTTCACCCTGTGCCCCGCGCCTGGCGTAACGCGTGGCCCCAGACCACACGCTGTAACCCGGGGTGAGAGGGAGTGAGGTGGGACTTCGTACCGGACCCGGAGCGCCGGCCTCGCCCGCGCGGGCAGCGTTCACTGTGGGGAGTGCTCACTCAGCCTAGGGCGGCCCGGGAGGACTGCCGGGAGGAGGGAGTCGGCCTTGAATTGAGGCCTCAGCCTTGAATAGGGTAGGGAGGCAAGCCTAGCCGAGAGTTTAGCACTAGCAAAAGCCTGGAGGCACCAGGGTCTGCCCTAAGAACTGCAGCGCCTCTGCTCTGGCTGGGATTTAACGCATTACGTCTCTGCTGTTTATAGGTGTTGTGTTTGGTCTTACGACTTCGTATTCTATAGTTTTTATTTATTCCTGTTTTCTGAATTTTCCCACATTTGCTTTTATCTTCTATCGTGATTTTCAAGGCAGAAAGTATTTTTAATTCTTCTCGCGGCTGCCTTTAGATTTATCAAATGAAAATAGTTTACATTTCACACATTAGTAAAGTCAGTGACAAATAATTCGTTTTTATATTCCCCCATGAGAAATTTTGTGTGCTTTTCTGCCTCCTACCTGCCGCCCTCACTACTTATATTTGTCCACTTAATCAGGACGACAGACCTAACTTTTGTTTACACTTTTTTTTTAAGCCACAACATTCTTTTTCAATCCTTGTTTTTGGCTTTTGCCAACTCTGTTTAATTGGTTTCAATGTTACTGCCGGTTTTTTGTGCTCTAATTTTTCTATTCCTCATTTGGACCCATCTCTCACATGACTGGTGATTTCAGGGAGGACTCTGGAATGTTGTATTTCCTAAGCCTTTGCCTTAGGTGAGAATGCCTTTATAATGATTTCCTGTTTATAGGATTCTTGAGTCTCAAGCTTTCCCCCTCAAAACTCTTGTCTTTATTTCATTGTCTTCTGGCACTGAAAATGCAAAGCTGGGTTTGTCTGTTTAAGGTCAGCAGTTTGCTTGGTGCTTGCAAGGGTTTTTCTTTACCCTCAAAAGTCAAACATTTTGCCAGTATAAATCAATATGGGCCTTATCTATTAATTTTCCAGAAACAAAAGAGGTCTTCTTTGTAGCTTAGAAAAGTTTTCTTCCTGTCCATTCTGTGAAAAGATTTGGGTTTTTTTCTTTCCTCTCCTCTAAAACTATCACATTGGATCACCAATGTCAAATAAATCTGTTTGTTTTCTCTGCACCCTGGGAGACTATATCAAGTTTTTCTTCACCATTACGGATTTAATTTTCTTCAGAGCCAAGAGTACTGTTTATTTTCTCCAATAAGACATTTGATTCTGCTTGTTTTATTTTTCTTTCAGCCAATTTCCATTCCACCTCTGTCTTGATCTCAACTTAATCTCTCTTTGTAGTCTCCATTCCTATTTCATAGACTAATGTGGTTTTGCATCTTTAAAAGAACACCAGGAAAATAAGAGAATACTATCTATATCTGACTCTGGTCCAATGCATATGAAAACTTTTTTGTTTTTTTGAGACAGAGTCTCACTTAAAATTTACACAAACTCTAGCATAGTGTGTAACTATTGAATGAATAACTAATGCAATCCCCTTCCTTTCTTTCAGAGCAACTATGAACTAGACTTTTTTTTTTTTTTTTTTTTTTTTTTTTTCTGAAATGGAGTCTCCCTCTGGAATGCAATGGTGCAATCTCAGCCCACTGCAACGTTCGCCTCCTGGGTTCAAGCAATTCTCCTGCCTCAGCCTCCTGAGTAGCTGGGATTACAGGCATGTGCCACCACCACGCCGGGCTAATTTTTGTATTTTTAGTAGAGACGGGGTTTCATTATGTTGGTCAGGCTGGTC
Source organism: Homo sapiens (assembly GCF_000001405.40). Classification (NCBI taxonomy): domain Eukaryota; kingdom Metazoa; phylum Chordata; class Mammalia; order Primates; family Hominidae; genus Homo; species Homo sapiens. The sequence goes on from NC_000020.11 coordinate 3,176,098, forward strand.
TCGAACTCCTGACCTTGAGATCCGCCCGCCTCGGCCTCCCAAAGTGCTGAGATTAGACTATTTGTATCTAGGTTCATCAGTTCAGTGAACTAATCAATACTTTGTTTTGTTTTGTTTTGTTGTTGCTTAAGATGATTTGTCACCTGCTGATTAATGATCACACAAGTTGTTTTTTTTTGAGAGAGTCTTGCTCTGTCACCCAGGCTGGAGTGCAGTGGCATGATCTTGGCTCCCTGCAACCTCCGCCTCCCGGGTTTAAGTGCTTCTTTTGCCTCAGTCTCAGTAGCTGGCATTACAGGCGTGCACCATTACACCCAGCTAATTTTTTGTATTTTTAGTAGAGACAGTGTTTCGCCATGTTGGCCAGGCTGGTCTCGAATTCCTGGCCTCAAGTGATCCACCCTCCTCCACCTTCCAAAGTGCTGGGATTACAGAACTGAGCCACCGTGCCCGGCCCTGAAAACCTTGATAAAGGGGCTCATTTTCTGGGAAATAAAATTACAAGGATAACAAAGATATTAAAAACATCATCCAAGAAATATGTCCAAAAAAGGTTCTGGTGGCCGGCATCGTTGCTCACGCCTATAATCTCAACACTTTAGGAGGCCGAGGCAGGAGGATGGCTTGAGCCCAGGAGTTCAAGACCAGCCTGGACAACATAGGGAGACCCTGTCTCTACAAAAAAATTTAAAAATTGGGCTGGGCATGGTGGCTTACACCTGTAATCCCAGCACTTTGGGAGACCAAGGCAGGTGGATCACCTGAAGTCAGGAGTTTGAGACCAGCCTGGCCAACATTAGTGAAACCCCATCTTTACCAAAAAATACAAAAATTAGCCAGTTGTGGTGGTGAATGCCTGTAGTCCCAGCTACTCGGGAAGCTGAGGCAAGAGAATCACTTGAACCCAGGAGGTGGAAGTTGCAGTGAGCTGAGATTGCGCTGTTGCACTCCAGCCTGGGCGACAGAGTGAGACCCTGTCTCAAAAAAAAAAAAAAAAAAAAATTAAAAAATTAGCTAGGCACAGTGGTGCACACCTGTGATCTCAGCTACTCAGGAGGCTGAGGTTGGATGATGGCTTGGGCCTGGGAGGTTCAGGCTGCAAGTGGGCCGTGATCGTGCTACTGCACTCTAGTCTGGGCAGCAGAGCAAGACCTTGTCTCAAAAATAAATAAATGAAATTTTAAAAAGGCTCTGGCCTCAGACAGTTTAATGGAAGAAATCTCTCAAACTCACTGAATAGATAATTTTCACCCTACTAATCTGCATCAGAACCCAGAAAAGATAGAATGCTGTCTATTTCATTTTATGAAGCCACAATTCCCCTTATACCAATTCCTAATAATAGCACAGGAAGAAAGGAAAACTGAAAACCATACTCATCAGTCATCAGTTCCAGGGGTGGAAAATCCTACATACAATTCAAGAAAATAAAACTGTAGATTATTCTGTATGAAATTAATAAGCCATGAGTTTGTCAACTGAGAAAAAAAAACAATTATCATAATAGATGCCAAAAAAATCAGTCAAAAATGAATACCCAAAAAGAACCCTCCTAATTAACCAGGAACAGTTGAAATTAAGAATTATGTATTACCGGCCAGGCACGGTGGCTCATGCCTTAATCCCAGCACTTTGGGAGGCTGAGGTGGGTAGATCACCTGAAGTCAGGAGTTTGAGACCAGCCTGGCCAATATGGTGAAGCCTCATCTCTACTAAAAATACAAAAATTAGCTGGGTGGGGTGGCAAGTGCCTGTAATCCCAGCGACTCAGGAGGCTGAAGCGGGAGGATCACCTGAACTTGGGAGGTCGTGACTGCAGTGAACAGTCATCATGCCACTGCACAATGCAGCCTGGGCTACAGAGTGAGTTGCCATCTCAAAAAAAAAAAAAAAAAAAAAAAAGCCACGTGAGATGTGAGTTCCTGTTTCCCTACAGCCTCACCAGCATAGGATATCATTAGTCTTTTAAATATTTGTTTTAATCACGTCTTCTTTGCCCCATAGCTGACGGAGGGGTTCCCACTCTCATGTGATGGCAGTGGCCAAACACAACACCTGACACTGGGCAGGTGAGATTTACCGCAGTTTATTAGTTACAACATACTCAATGGGAAAGGACACCACAAGCCACGCAGGGCCACACAGGGGGTGTACTCAGGAGTGGAGAGAACAACCAGGGGTTGTGGAGGGCAGGCTTTGTAGTGATAAGAGAGTGAGGTGCTCCCTGGTTCCTGCATGGGAGGTAACTGGCTTGTTTGAATAATTCTACAGGCTGGCAGGGAACTGAAGCCTACTACTAAGAGATAAGCAGGAACTGCTCCTGGTTCATTTGATGAAAGGATTGGCTAGGGGACCTTACCCACAGAACACAGCAGGAGGGCAGCTTACAGCTAGACCATTTGAGGCCCTCTTGATTTTACCAGAAGTCAAGTCAATAGTTCTTTTTATTTTTTACATTTTTATTTATTTATTTATTTTTGAGACAGAGTCTCACTCTTCTTGCCCAGGCTGGAGTGCAGTGGCGCGATCTTGTCTCACTGCAACCTCCGCCTCCCGGGTTCAAGTGATTCTACTGCCTCAGCCTCCCGAGTAGCTGGGACTACGGCATTTACTAGCATGTCCAGCTAATTTTTGTAGTTTTTGTAGAGACAAGCTTTTGCCATGTTTTCCAGGCTGGTCTCAAACTCCTGAGCTCAAGCGATCCACCTGAGAGCTGAGCACTCCCACAGTGCTGAGATTACAGGTGTGAGCCACTGCACCTAGCCTCACATAGCATTTTGAGGGTATAAATTGGTACAACCTTTTGGGAGGACAATTTGGTAGTATATAAAAATATGAAATGTGTATATCCTTGGACCCAGCAATCTCATTTCTTGGGAAGAGATACCATCACAAATAATATGATGTATGTCTGAAGACAGTCACTAATGTACTGAATGTAAAAGTAAAAAAAAAAAAAAAACCTCCTAAATACATCAATCTATTAATAGAAGATTGATTAAATGAATTACAAGGCATCCAATGCAATGTAACAATAGACAGCTATTAATATTTAAAAGGACATGGATGCCTATGTGTTGACACAGAAAGATGACTACAGTAAGTGAAAAAAGCTGTGGCATATCATATGTATACCTATCAACCTACTGTACTCTAATTTTTCTATTATTATTTTTTATTTATTGAGCAGCCCCCAAAGCAGAGAGTCCTCCTACTCTTTTTTTTTTTTTCTTTTTTTGAGATGGAGTCTTACTCTGTCACCAAGACTGGAATGCAGTGGCATGATCTTGGCTCACTGCAACCTCTGCCTCCCGGGTTCAAGTGATTTTCCTGCCTCAACTTCCCGAGTAGCTGGGATTATAGGTGCCTGCCACCATGCCCAGCTAATTTTTATTAGAAATTTTTAGTAGAAACAGGGTTTCACCATGTTGGCCAGGATGGTCTCGAACTCCTGACCTCAGGTGATCTGCCCGCCTTGGCCTCCCAAAGTGCCTGGGATTAAAGATGTGAGCCACCATGCCCAGCCCCTCTATTCTTTTTCAAAGAATATATATGTACGTGCATAGAAAATTCAGGAAAGATACATACAAGATTAAACATGGGCCACCTTGAGATGGTGGGATCATAGGTCATATGGCAGAAGAAAGGAGTCTAGGCACTAATGTAATTTTTGCACTTTGGCACAATCAGCTCACTGCAGCCTCGAATTCCTAGACTCAAGTGATCCTCCTGCCTGCCTCAGTCTCCTGAGGAGGCAGGACTACAGGCATGCCCAGCTTCCTTTTAAAAATTTTTTTGTAGAGAAGGGGTCTTGCTAAGTTGCCCAGGCCGGTCATGAATTCCTGACCTCAAGCAATCCTCCTGCCTCTGCCTCCCAAAGTGCTGAGATAACAGATGTGAGCCACCACAGCTGGGCAAATATTTAATATCTTAATACTTTGCTATTTCTACATTTTCAGAGCTTACCTGTTTATTCGTCCACATAAACTTATTTTCCTTTTTGACTGTCTTTAAAAATATATTTAAAATATAAATTTAAAAAATCGTATCTCTTAATACTCTAGAGTAAGCAGAATAATGCCCCCCACCCAAAATGTCCAAATCCTAATTCCCAGAACCTGTGAATATGTTGTTACATGGCCAAGCGAAATTAAGGTTGTAGATAGAGTTAAGGCTTTGATCAGCAGACCTTAAAATAGGAAGATTAGCCTGGATTATCCAGGCAGGCCCAGTGTCATCACAAGCGTTCTTAAAAGTGAAAGAGGACGGCAGAAAGAGTGAGATGGAGATGTGACTAGGAAAGAATGATCAGAGAGATGCAACATAACTGGCTTTGCAGATGGAAGAAGGGGGCCATGAGCCAAGAAATGTGGGTGGCCTCTAGCTGGAAAAGAACCTCCAGAAAGGGAGCACAGTCCTTCCTTGAAAGGGAGCACAGTCCTTCCTTGATTTTAGCACAGAAGACCCGCACTGGACTTCTATGCTACAGAAGCAGAAGATAATAAGTTTGTGTAGTTTTTTGCCACTAAGATTCGGTCATTTGTTACAGCAGCACTAGAAAATGAATACAAATACATAATAGACACAACATTCCTTAGTTGAATGATGAATGAAATCACAAAAACCCTAGGTCTACAGATAAATAGGTAAAAGAAATATATCACTTAGGGCCGGGTACGGTGGCTCACGCTTACAATCCCAGCACTTTGGGAGGCCGAGGCAGGTGGATTACCTGAAGTCAGAAGTTCGAGACCAGGCTGGCCAACATGGCAAAACCCCGTCTCTACTAAAAATACAAAAATTAGCCAGGCGTGGTGGCACGTGCCTATAATCCCAGCTACTTGGGAGGCTGAGGCAGGAGAACCACTTGAACCCGGGAGGTGGAGGTTGTAGTGAGCCAAGATGCCACTCCACTCCAGCCTGGGTGACAGAGCGAGACTCTGTCGCAAAAAAACAGATAGATAGACAGATAGATAGACAGATAGATAGATAGATAGATAGATAGATAGATAGATAGATAGATAGATTTTTTTATATATCTATATATATATATATCACTATGAATCCAGATAGCCAATAAGTAGTTGAAAACATCTATATCCTCGCTGATACTGAAGAGATGCAGATCAAAACCTATCAAATTAGGAAAGACTATTGCAATCCTTTGGGGTCCTACCCACCAAGTTGTCCAGAAGGGGATCTGGGTTTACCTCTCTGAGATGACTGCTTGCAGTTACCTCTGAACAGCAAATTAGGGGGCAGACAAGGCACTTTAATTCATGCTAAAGTTCGAATGTTTGTACTAAAGCCTTTTATAGCTATGCTTACTTTATGAGGAAATGAAAACTTCTGGAATTGGGCCAAAAATTCCTGGGAATTACCAGTAAAGGTCTTGGGGGTTATCTAAACCAATATAAAAGTAACTGAAATGATTATAATCCAAGAATGCTGGGGTCTTTTATTACCGTTTGATAAGCTGATGTGTTTTTTGTTTGTTTGTTTTTTTGAGACAGAGTGTCACCCTGTCACCCAGGCTGAAGTGCAGCGGCACGATCTCGGCTCACTGCAACCTCTGCCTCTTGGGTTCAAGTGATTCTCCCGCCTCAGCCTCCCGAGTAGCTGGGATTACAGGCACCCCCCACCATGCCTGGCTAACTTTTGTATTTTTGTAGAGATGGGGTTTCACCATGTTGGCCAGGCTGGTCTTAAACTCCTGACCTCAGGTGATCCACCCACCTTGGCCTCCCAAAGTGCTGGGATTACAGGCATGAGCCACCGCACCCAGCCGAGCTGATGTTTATACACACACACACACACATGGTCCATGAAAAATAAAATTTAAGGCTGAGTGTGGTGGCTCATGCCTATAATCCCAGCACTTTGGGAGGCTGAGGCGGGTGGATCACCTGAGGCCAGGAGTTTGAGACCAGGCTGGCCAACATGGTGAAACCCCGTCTCTACTAAAAAAAAAAATACAAAAATTAGCCAGGCGTGGTGGCAGGCGCCTGTAATCCCAGCTACTCGGGAGGCTGAGGCGGGAGAATCACTTGAACCCAGGAGGCAGAGGTTGCAGTAAGCTGAGATCGTGCCATTGCACTCCAGCCTGAGAGACAGAGTGAGACTCCATCTCAAAAAATGAAAAATAAATAAATAAATAAATATAAAAGTTAAAGGAAAAATATACAAAAAATTAAAAACTGTATTCTCTTTCTTAAAACTATTCTTTACTAATTGCACATTTTACCTAAGATAGAAAATGGTTTATGTTTTTCCTGTGTTCCACAGGGTCCCCCTGTAACATCTGATTCTGTTTTTATATAATTGATGCATTGTTTATATGATACTAAGGGACTCATCTGTACCTATACCCTGTAAGCCTCATTTCAAGATATTTAGATACAAAGCGAAAAGGAACACAAGTCACCACTTCAAGTGAGTGCCTCTGCATCATACATGTACATGTGAAACATGTAGGTCCTTTTTTTTTTTTTGGTTAGATGGGGTCTCACTCTGTTGCCCAGGCTGGAGTACAGTGGCGCAATCACGGCTCACTGCAACCTCCACCTCCCAGGCTCAAGTGATTCTCCCACCTCAGCTTCCTGTAGCTGGGACTACAGGTGCACACCACCACGCCTGGCTAATTTCTTTTTTTTGGTATAGATGGGGTTTCACCATGTTGCCCAGGCTGATCTTAAACTCTGGGGCTCAAGTGATCCACCTGCCTCGGCCTCCCAAAGTGCTGGGATTATAGGCATGAGCCACTGTGCCTGAGGCGGGAGGATCATGCTGAAACTCCATCTCTACAAAAATACAAAAATTGGTCGGGCGTGGTGGCTCACACCTGTAATCCCAGCACTTTCGGAGGCTGAGACGGGAGGATCACTTGAGGTCGTGAGTTCGAGACCAGCATGACCAACATGGTGAAACCATGTCTCTATTGAAAATACAAAAAAATTAGCCAGGCATAGTGGCACACGCCTGTAATCCCAGCTACTTGGGAGGCTGAGGCAGGAGAATCACTTGAATCCAGGAGGTGAACGTTGCAGTGAGCTGAGATCACGCCATTGCACTCCAGCCTGGGCAACAAAAGCGAGACTCTGTCTCAAAAAAAAAAAAAACCCCACAAAAATTAGCCAGGCATGATGGCAGGTGCCTGTAATCCCAGCTACTCGGGACACTGAGGCAGAAGAATTGCTTGAACCCAGGAGGTGGAGGTTGCAGCGAGCCGAGATGGCACCACTGTCCAGCCTAGGTGACAGAGCGAAAGTCCATCTCAAAAAAAAAAAAAAAAAAAAAGACAACTGCCCAACTAGACGGCAAGCACATGTCCGCACAACTACACTATTATGTGAACAACACAGGGAACCGTGGAGTTTAGCTCAACAAGGTGACTTGACTTACCTTGCTGAGAAACAGCTAAAGGGAAATCTCTTACAGCAATTGAGGAATTAAGTCTCAGTTACTCAGTTCTGAACAGTTAGAACATTAAGAGTTTTAGTTTTATTATATTATAGATGTGTTTTTGTGTCATATGGTAGAAATGTAAATAGTAAATGTAAAATAGAAAGTTAAAATGACTAAAAAACCAGTCAGCGTAAATCTACCAAGCTATACGCAAAAGGTTATATTTAAATAAGTTTAATGTTACAGTATTGGTATTTGGTAGGTTTTCTTATAAGGTTCCCTTATCCATTTTGCTGTAATTAACAATCGGATAATGTATTAGCCAGCCAAAAATTATGTATGCTGTCAGGATAAATCAAGTCAAAATGTTTTTCAATGTCACTACAGAAATTGTTTTTGGTTCAACTATATGACTATCAAAGGTTATGTACAACGCACAACTCTACCCAGATACTCATCCTTGCACTGTTCTAAATAAAGGAAACAAGACTCTTCAGTACTCTGTTTTTCAAACTGTAGGTCAAGATCTGTTAGTGAGTTGTAAAATCAATTTAGTCACCATTGGCAATAAAATAGAATAGAGAGGCAAGTATCAACATGCATCAAACCAAAAGGATTGTACTGTGAAACGCCTGCTTCATGGATCTATATGCATACATGCACACATAAGAAAATGGATTTCTTACTAAGAGATACTGTTAAAAGAGTCTGAAAACACAGCCTTAGTGGAATAGCTGTCTCTAATCTTGGGGCTGAGGCATGCACGCATGAAGACTTGAGGGATATTCTCAAATAGTCCAGTGGCTTGTGGAGGGAGAAGTTGATGGTATAATGACAATTTGTGGGATAAAGTGATGTAAAGGTTTAAGAAATGAGTTAACAGATTCAAAACACTAAGTAAATAAACATTCCCACTTCTTCCCCACCCAGACTTAACAAACATAGCTCAGATCTCTGGGCTCAGACCTTCCCAGCCAGGTCCCAGCCTCCTTTTCCAGCTTTGTCTCTCATTTGCCCTGGCCTTTCCTCCACCCAACACTCCATGCTCCCCTCAGGGAACCACAGGCCTTATTCTCCACTCCAGATCTCTGCACCTGTCCTCCTTCTAGCCTGGAAGGCCTCTCCTATTATCCACTGGTCCCTTTCATACACTCCAGCATCTGGCTGTGCACTTGCTAGCTTGTGATTGATTGGTCTCTCTGTCAGATTAATACCACTGCACTGGCCGGGCGCGGTGGCTCAAGCCTGTAATCCCAGCACTTAGGGAGGCCAAGGCGGGTGGATCATGAGGTCAGGAGATCAAGACCATCCTGGCTAACACGGTGAAACCCCGTCTCTACTAAAAATACAAAAATATTAGCCGGGCGTGGTGGCGGACGCCTGTGGTCCCAGCTACTCGGGAGGCTGAGGCAGGAGAATGGCGTGAACCCAGGAGGCGGAGCTTTCAGTGAGCTGAGATTGCACCACTGCACTCCAGCCTGGGCGACAGAGCGAGACTCTGTCTCAAAGAAAAAAAAAAATACCACTGCACTAACCCCTACTTGTGGCTGGGGCCATGTTTTGCTCACTGTACTTCCCTAGGGTGTTCAAAATCATGCCTTGTACTCAGTAAGCTCCCCATAAATTACGTTATTTTTTAACAACATATTTCAGATGTGTTTAAATACTTTTCTGTTACAAAGATTCAATACAGGCTGGGTGCAGTGGTACACGGCTATAATCCCAGTGCTTTGCGAGGCCAAGGTAGGAGGATCACTTGAGCCCAGGAGTTCGAGACTACCATGAGCAACATAGTGAGATCCCGTCTCTACCAAAAAGAGAAAAAATATATATATATATTAGCTGGGCATGGTGGAGTGCTCCTGTAGTCCTAGCTACTAGAAAGGCTGAGGTGGGAGGATCACTTGAGCCCAGAAGTTTGAGGCAGCAGTGAGCCATGATCACACCACTGTACTCCAGCCTGGGCAAGAGTGAGACTCTGTCTCAAAAAACAAAAATCCAACATGCATCCAGTATCAGTATCACTGTGGTAGCCTGGGGGAATCACTGAACTGCCACCATATTACCGGTGGCTTCACATAACCCAGCTACTTTAGCTCCACATAACCCAGCTATTTTAGCTCCTTTTCTTGAGGTTTAGCATGAGCCAAGGATACACAAGGCCATCTAGGACTCTTTATGTTTTGTTATAGAAAAGTTTAAACATGTAGGAAAATAGATGGCTGGGTGCAGTGGCTCATGCCTGTAATCCCAACACTTTGGGAGGCCAAGATAGGTGGATTGCTTGAGCTCATGAGTTCGAGACCAGCCTAGGCAACATGGCAAAACCCCATCTCTACAAAAAGTTAAAAAATTAGCCGGGCATGGTGGTGCACACCTGTAAGTCCCAGCTACTCAGGAGGCTGAGGTGAGAGGATGGCTTGAGCCTGGGAGGCAGAGGTGCAGTGACCTGACATCGTGCCACTGTACTCCAGCCTGGGCAACAGAGCTAGATCTTATCCTAAAAACAAAAACAAGGCCAGGCGCGGTGGCTCATGCCTGTAATCCCAGCACTTTGGGAGGCCGAGGCGGGTGGATCATGAGGTCAGGAGATTGAGACCATCCTGGCTAACACAGTGACACCGCGTCTCTACTAAAAATATAAAAAATTAGCCGAGCGTGGTGGTGGGCGCCTGTAGTCCCAGCTACGCAGAAGACTGAGGCAGGAGAATGGCATGAACTTGGGAGACGGAGCTTGCAGTGAGCCGAGATCACGCCACTGCACTCCAGCCTGGGCAACAGAGCAAGACTCTGTCTCAAAAAAACAAACAAAAAAACCAGAAAGAAGAAAGAAAATGAGCACAACCTCCATGTACCCATTCCCAGTTTTTCAGTAATTTTCAGCTCATGGTTAATCTTGTAAATAACTATTTTTTGAAAAATTGTGTAATATAACTCCAATCTAGAACTTGTCAATAATAAGCCTTGAAGATCCACAAGAAAGAGAAGTTACTGGACTCTATAGGGCGCAAGTAGTATCACAATAGACCTGTGTAGGGCTGGGCTGTGAAGATAAGGCACCCAGGACAAGCACTGCTTGAGAGTTACAAAAATCAAAATGTATCTGATTGGTTGGAGCCAAGAGTCAAGGGTTCCAAAATCTAACTATGAAAAAGGGACCACCAGGCTGGGCACGGTGGCTCGTGCCTGTAGTCCCAGCACTTTGGGAGGCCAACATGGTGAAACCCCGTCTCTACTAAAAATACAAAAATTAGCCGGGCATGGTGGCATGTGCCTGTAGTCCCAGCTACTTGGAAGGCTGAGGCAGAATCGCTTGAACCCTGGAGGCGGAGGTTGCAGTGAGCTGAGATCGCGCCACTGCACTCCAGCTTGAGTGACAGAGTGAGACTGTCTCAAAAAAATAACAATACTAATAAAAAAAGAAAAGAAAAAGGGACTACCCAACAAGTAAAAGACTCAGGTAGAATTCCAATGAAGTTGGCTGGGCGTGGTGGCTCATGGCTGTAATCCCAGCACTTTAGGAGGCCAAGGCGGGTGGATCATGAGGTCAGGAGTTCAAGACCAGCCTGGCCAACATAGTGAAACCCCATCTCTACTAAAAATACAAAAAATTAGCAGGGCGTGGTGGTGGGCACATGTAATCCCAGCTACTTGGGAGGCTGAGGCAGGAGAATCGCTTGAACCCGGGAGGTGGAGGTTGCAGTGAGCCGAGATCACGCCATTGCATTCCAGCCTGGGCGACAGTGCGAGGCTGTCTCAAAAAAATAAAAATAAAATAAATAAAAATTGGCCGGGCGCGGTGGCTCACACCTGTAATCCCAGCACTTTGGGAGGCAGAGGCGGGCAGATCACGAGGTCAGGAGATCGAGACCATCCTGGCTAACACAGTGAAACCCCGTCTCTACTAAAAATACAAAAAATTAGCCAGGTGTGGTGGCGGGCGCCTGTAGTCCCAGCTACTTGGGAGGCTGAGGCAGGAGAATGGCGTGAACCTGGGAGGCGGAGCTTGCAGTGAGCCAAGATTGTGCCACTGCACTCCAGCCTGGGTGACAGAGCAAGACTCCATCTCAAAAAAAATAAATAAAAAATAAATAAATAAATAAGTAAAAATGAAAAAGAATTACAATGAAGTCTTGAGTCCTTGGTTCTGAATCATCATCCATCAGTCATAGCTATGTCCTCAGCTATCACGGTAACCCTGGCGCTCCAGAGTAAGTGAAAACTACCCTCAGACAAAAATAAAAATTAAAGGCCAGGTGTAGGGGTTCACGCTTATAATCCCAGCACTTTGGGAGGCCAAGGTGGGCGGATCACCTGAGGTCAGGAGTTTGAGACCAACCTGGCAACCATGGCAAAATCCTGTCTCTACTAAAAATACAAAAAATTAGCCAGGCATGGTGGAGGGCGCCAGTAATTCCAGCTATTCAGGAGGCTGAGGCAGGAGAATCACTTGAACTCGGGAAGTGGAGGTTTCAGTGAGCTGAGATTGCGCCACTGCACCCCTGCCTGGGCGACAGAGCGAGATTCCCTCTCTAAATAAGTGAATCAATAAAATTTAATTAGAGCTAGCAAGGCTGGGCACAGTGGCTCATGCCTGTAATGCAGCACTTTGGGAGGCTGAGGCGGGGGGATCACTTGAAGTCAGGAGTTTGAGACCAGCCTGCCCAACATGGCGAAACCCCGTCTCTAGTAAAAATACAAAAATTAGCCAGGTGTGGTGGCGCATGCCTCTAATCCCAGCTATTTGGGAGGATGAGGCAGGAGAATCACTGAACGTGGGAGGTGGAGGTTGCAGTGAGCCAAGATTGCGCCAGTGCACTTCTGCCTAGGTGACAGTGAGACTCCAACTCAAGAAAAAAAAAAAAGTAGAGCTTGTGAAGTGTTTATGATCAGTTTTAGTGTCACATGTACAGATCAGTAATGTAATCATTATAATACTATGTCTGGTCTACGGCTGGGCGCGGTGGCTCACGCTTGTAATCCCAGCACTTTGGGAGGCTGAGGCAGGCAGATTGCCTGAGGTCAGGAGTTCGAGATCAGCCTGGCCAACAAAGTGAAACCCCGTCTCTACTAAAAATACAAAAATTAGCTGGGAGTGGTGGCACGCTCCTGTAATCTCAGCTACTCGGGAGGCTGAGGCAGGAGAATCGCTTGAACCTGGGTGGTGGAGGTTGTAGTAAGCCGAGATCACTACAGCCTGGGCAACAGAGCGAGACTGCCTCAAAAAAAAAAAAAAGCATTAAATTTCATTTTATTTTCATTTTTCCCTTTATTTTTTCATTTTTTAGTTGTGAAAGTAGTTCGTATATATTTAGAAAAATGTTTACTTTTAATAAACTATTCATTTAATAAATGTATTAACTGAGCACTAAATAATGCTCAAAGGATCATAGATTTTTTTCCTCCACACTAAGCCCATGGGACATGAAGAATATCTGGGTGCTTCCAGGATATAAGGAAGGAATGTGCCTTTTCCCACTCCTGGCCTTTGGGTACTGTCCTGAGCATGGGATGCTGGGGCAGGGGCTGCCTTGGCCATCTTGCCATCTGCATGGCAGTGGCAGAGGATAGCTGAGGGAAAGGACTAGAGAGCCCTGGAGCTGCCGCCTTGCTCTGTGAGAAGCCCCTTCCAATGGAGATTTGAATTACTTGCAACTTGTTGGCCTGCCTCTCCACCCCACCCCCATCTGTTCCCTAGCTCTCAACTTTGGCTGCACACTGGAATCTCCTACTCATGCTCCCTGACTATGCCCTCACAGATTCTGATTTGACTGGTCCTGGGTGCAACGGGGCTGGCATGAGACGACTAAAAACTCCCCAGGTGAATCCAATGAGCAACCAGGCTAAGGACCAGTGATCTAACTGTAAGTCATTCTCTTCTTTTCCCTTTGTAATTTTATGTTTCCACCTCATACTGTGGTTGGCTACATCTGTTTCTTCCCTCTCCTACTAGAATGTAGGCTCCAGATGGCCTTCCAAACAATACATGTGGCCCTTCACGCTCCAGGTGATGACAAGTACCCGTTGCTGATGGAAGTAGCAGAGTCATACCTTTCTTGGAATTTAGGTTCTACAGTCAATGCTTATGGCACCCAATGAGTCAAAAACACCCTTGGCAACTCCTAAGGAAGGCTCTGCCCTGGAACCTGATGTACTGTTTCCCCATCACCATCCAGGGAGAGTTTCCTCCTGGGCCGGAACAGAAAGCTGCCTCCTCCATCAGGCACCAGAGGAAGTAGGGGGCTTCTGTTTAGGGACCACTTTGCATAAATACACATTTAAACATGTGCCTCACCCTCAGCACAGCAGGATGCTCACGCCATGAACAGCCAACAGGAACCAGAGTGACCGACCCTCCAGGAGGTACACACCTCCCTCCCATCCCACCCACTTCTGAGCATATGGTTCTCACATCCACCAGTGGGTGGAATCACCCACACCATTTAAACTTTTTGTCAAGGATGTAGAGCTGAATTCATGTGATTTCCCACATGAGCAATGTCCCTCCCTCCACTGCACAATTATAGCCAGCTCAAGCAGGTCCTCTCCTTCCTTCTACCTGCCCTGCAAATGGCTCTCTCCTTCACTGACCCCCCGCCCTCCTTCTTAAAGGCTGATGCTCCCTAGGACTCTATCCTTGATGCTTCTCATTAATTCTTCTCCCCGCTGGCTCTCAGCCCTACTTAGGGCTCCTGATCAGTTAAAAAAGACCCATGAGACCTCCCCTCCCCAGTTAACAGAGATGTGGCCCAAGAGGCTCCCCACTTCTAATTTGAGTGGGGGCAAAAGAAGAGAAAGATCTTATCTAGGTCTTGGGGGCAGGGCTTGCAGGGCACAAAGAAACAGAGTAAATGTGCAACAGGCTATTTTCTTGAATGAATGGATTCATAATAAGAACAGGACTTCACCAGCTTCCAAGGGACCCTCCCCACCTCTCGGATATATTCTGAAGCCTAAATTTCACCTGCTTATCTAGGATCCTAGGCCAGGCCTTCTGCCACACCAAGCCACACCAAGCTCAGCAGTACTCACAGGCCTTTAATCTATAACTGCCTGGCCACACCATCACTTCCCCAGGATGGTGGGGAGGGATGAAGATGTATAGCCAGGTAGGCCACACCAACTCTGAGTCCAAGAGGGAAGGACTGGGGTCAGGCTGGGGCTTGGGCAGGGGACTCCCGGCCCCAGGCGATGAGGGAGTTGCTGGCTTGGGCAAGCTCGGCGATGGACACCCGGCCCCGCTGTCGGATGAAGTTGGCCACGGCGGCCAGTTCCTCTGGGGTTATGTAGATGAACTTGCCCCGGTCGTCAATCACACCTGTGGGGACATGCAGGTTGTGGGGCTGAGGCCTCCTGGGCGTTCCCCATCTGGCCTGAGAATGCCCACCTACTCCTTCACAGCTGGCTCAGGGCCCTTCCGGCCTCCTGCCTGCCTGGACTTTCCTGGCTGCATCCAGTCCTGCTAGGAGAGTCGAATCAGGCTGCCCTGCCTGTCCTCTCCCACTGCTGCCACCTCCAGGCCCTGGCATGTCCTCCTTGTAACTGCATCCAGCTACTCAGTGCCCCTCCTTGCACACCCCTCCCCCCATCTTGGGTGGTCATCCTGCCTCTGCAGCACATCCCTGCAGCCCCTGTGGCTAGACACTCTCCAAGGCCAGGACTGCAGTGATTGGCTCTCATCATCTCACCTGTTATAGTCCCCTCAGCCAGCAGGTCCTGGATGCGATTTATGGTGTCCTATGAGGAGAACAACTCTCAGAATAGAGATAGGCACCAATGTCCCCAGAAAAAGCACTGAAACCTCCCTCCCACTACAGCCAAATCTCTTTATTTCCCTCTCATGCCACGCCCAAATGTGACTCTGTGCTTTGCCTTTGGAAGGGCCCTGGGTAGAAGGGGCTCTGGTCCTGGGCCCTGCAAGACCCCCAAAAGAGTATCTCTTCCTGTTAGAAGCGGGGCAGTGATGTTTGCAACACAGGCTGGTGCAGTCTGTGCATGAGAGTTGTCAAGGTAACTGATTTGGGCTGCTTTGGTCACAGGGGCTGGCAGAGTGATGGGGTTTGGGTTTTTTTTTTCTTTCCTGCCTGTTCGTCCATTAAAAATGCAGGATTCCCAGGGTGCCAGGAGACTTCTGTGCACTACTCACTCTTGGTTGGGGACAAGGTAGACGGTGCATCAAGACTCTATCTTTAGGGCAGGTCCTCTCTGCTAGCCACAGACCCCTGGCCACACTGCACACAGCAGGCCACGTTCCAGGGCTTACCTGAGTGCGTAGGCCCACCTGGGAAGCCAGGTCTTCCAAGAGCACAACCTTGGACTGCTACAAAAAGAAGGAGGAAAAGAAAGAGAGGCTGAGCTTGGGCAAATCCCTCTAAGCATGGGCACCCTCCAGGTTTGCATTCTGATCTGATCTGTTCTCGGTGGCTGGAAAAACACTGTACACACTCCTGTAGGACAGCCTTGCTCCCCTGACACACACACACACACACACACACACACTCACTATCACCCATTGACAGAGACCCGCACAATCATAAACCCTCTCATTCCCCTTCTTGCGAGGAAGGAATCTACCCAAAACAACCACCTGCCTCATGGGCCCTGTCCTGGACTCCGAGACACACGAGTGGTAATCAGAGCACAGCAGCCACCATCCTCTGCATCCAGCCATCTCTTTTTAACATCATGGACAAGTTCAAGGGGACGCACCATAGGGAGGAAGGAGGCGGTGAGAGTCACCAAAAGCTATTTTAAATAACTGTCACCAGGACTTATGCTTGCTGAGGACCTACTAGAACAAGGCCCTGAGAAGGTAGGAGGGACACATGCTGAACAAGCCATAGTCCCCGCCCTGGAGCTCGCAGTCCGGCTGGTGAGACAGGTGAGTACATGGACAAGAGGGAGAGCAGATAAAAGCCCGAGCAAGCCAAGGTCTCTCAGTAGAGGCTGTGGGGGCCCACTCCTGCCTTGCCTTCGCTGGCCGCCCCACTGGCCTGGTCCCCCACAACCTGACACACCCACACTTTTTATCCATCCTCTTTATACCATCTGAGGCACTGAGCCCACCCTTGAAATCACTGTCACTAATACCGCTGAGTGCTTTCCAGCACAGCCACGTTCTGTGCTCCAAGTGCTTCTTCATACCCTCAGTAGAAACCTGAGTTCCCAAGGGCGCAGCGAAGGGTCCACCGCTGTGTCCACACAGGCACCTGCCCCCACTACCCCAACACACAGCACAGGACTTGAGAAAAGGCAGTTCTTTTGCATTTCTGTGAATCCTCCACCGCAAATGAGCTGGGGGAGGACTGACATGGTGACACCTCCCTGACTGCAGATAGCATGTGACTTGTTTGAAATGCCAAAGCCGTATGTACAAGCAAGAAGGCAAGCGAGAGGCAGCTGGGTCAGGATGGGCAAGGACAAAGTGACGTGGTCAGCTGGTCTCTACCTACAAAACAGGGATCAGGCAGCGGGCTCTCAGTGACAGTGTGGTGCGAGAACATGAAGTCACCCCAGGTGCTCCCTGATGACCTGGCCTGAGGTGCTGCTGGGGCCAAAACACGTTTGATAAAACAAGCTAGGTGTGGTGGCACCCACCTGCAATCTCAGCTACTCAGGAGGCAGAGGCAGGAAGATCGCCTGAGCCCAGCCATGGTCAGACAGGAGAATGGAACAAGATCGAGTGAACCCTACACCTCTCATAAACGATGCTGGGTGCAGGCATGTTCCTCCAGTTCTGAAATCTTAAGGCAAAAAAGGTCTATCCCCTTGGAGCAAGGAGGAAAGCAGACAGACTGAATTTCAGAAGTCCTCCTTTTCCTTGCAAGACAGCAGCTCTAGAAGAATTAGCCAGCACAGGCTGGAAAAACTTTTTTTCTTTTTTTTTTGAGACAGAGTCTCACTCTGTCGCCCAGGCTGGAGTGCAGTGGCACCATCTTGCCTCACTGCAACCTCCACCTCCTGGGTTCAAGTGATTCTCCTGCCTCAGCCTCCTGAGTAGCTGGGACTACAGGTGTGCACCACCATGCCTGGCTAATTTTTGTATTTTTAGCAGAGATGGGGTTTCAGCATGTTGCCCAGGCTAGTCTCAAACTCCTGACCTCAAGTGATCTGCCCGCCTCGGCCTCTCAAAGTGCTGGGATTGCAGGCGTGAGCCACCATGCCCGGACAAGCTGGAAAAACTTCTAAGCTCCAAAAGAGTTTGGAGAACTCCCAGAGAATAGTTACCTCCAGGGAGCCACCAAAAGTGAGGGCTAGAACTGGGGACCTTTCTTCTGGTTTCTGCAGAGTAAAGGGGGATGTTGAAGCTGACCCCCTCCTCTAATTCCACCTGGGAAGGCTTCCTGGGGAGGGGCTTCAGGACCATCTTACTGCCTACTGGGTAGGTGGGGACAAGTTCCAAACAGCAGCAGGCAAGTGTGAGAAATAACCTGCCCGGCCACAGCCCCTAATCAAGTGTGCCAGGGTAGAGAGAGGGCTCCATGAGAGGGGAGTGCACACAGCCTGAACAGACAGGACCCTCTCAAAGCTGCCAGCATTTCCCCCACTTAAGAACCCCAGACTCAAGGCTGTGAGCCCAGCCCCTCGCTGCTGGCAGGCGTCTAAACCCTGCTCTCTTTCAGGAGAGGTGGCGGGAGGATTATGCAAGCCCTGGGTCCTTGGCAGCCCCTGGTAGCACCCCCACCACCGCCCCCGCTCCCTCTGCACTCCTTCCCTCAGCCGCCTCTGCACCTCTGAGTTGCACTTGAAAACCTCTCCCCTCATGGCATCCTTCGTGGGAGAGAAGTTGCTTAGCAGCAAAGCAAAGTAGGATGTGCTTATGCAACCTGGAGCAGCATCGAGGCGGCCTGCGCAGTGGCTGCGGACAGAAGGGGACACACTGCCGCCCCACCCTAAACTCCAAAGGAAACACCATCCTGTTCCCCCTGAAAGACCCAAGTTCCCAGTCAGGAGCACATGGCAGAGGATGCTTGTTTCAACTCAGTGGAGCCTCAGTGTGACAGAACTGACAGAAAACACATGTGAAGAGACTTGAAAACACACTGACTCACTGAGCGTGGGGTCTGAAGAGCAGGGAAACTGTCAAACTGAGTGTGAGGAAGTGATCAAAGGCTTGCGCCTCCCACACAGACCCAGGTCCTTCTCCACCTTCGGGGTTGGAGGGAGAGAAACTCTCCTGGCCAGGACCCTGCGGCTCTGCCCCTCTGGGCCCCCCTGTCCACTCCTGCATGAGCCTGAATGCCCTGCCTGCAGCCCCCGCTGGAGGCATCCAACCTGCACATGCCAGGCAGGGAGCTGACACTCAGGCTCTGTTCAGTGGCTTCTTACCTTGATGTAGTTGATGAACTCTGTCAGGAAGCTCTGGGACTAGAGAAGCAGAGAAATCAGGGTGAGCACCCCCTAGCAAGCCCACAGGGTTCTGTACCCATTCACCCAAGTACCACCTGCTCACTTGAGGGCCACCTGCCTGCAGCCTGCCTTTGGCCCGCCCAACCACCTGCACATACCGCTTGCCTACACAAGCAGCAGAGCCTTCCAGGGTGAGAGTTTCGGAGGCACCAGCCTCTGCTGAGGACAAGGCCTCTGGCCACTAAAGCCTGCTGGTACTGATGCCCACCCACCTCTCACTGCCTGGCCAGGGGCGTCTGGGATGGGGTGGCTAGCCTTGCGTCTGGCACAGGCTGCACTGATGGGTGCAGAGAGGGGCTTCCCAGGGGCAGCAGGCCCACCTGTTCCTCAGTCATGGTCTCTCCTACGCCTTCCTCCTCCACCACAAAGGCCTCCTTCAGTTTCAGGTACTCCTCATGCTCCCGCTGGGCCTGCTCCTCGCGGGCCTTCCTCTCCTCCTCCTCCTGTGGACATAGGAGGCAAAAGTCAGGTATCGGGGGCAGAACAGGGCAGGCACCTGTTCTGGTTGCTGCTACCCCTGCAGGACACCAGAGCATATAGCCCAGCCTTTTCTCAGAGACAGAGCTCCTTCAGGACCCCCATTTCTCCATTCCCCCAAGCTGAACCATGGGCCGAGGCCCCTCTTGTCATCGGTTTCATCATCACCTGGACAAATGCTGCTCAGCCCCTTCTCCCGCCCTCCGTGCTCAGGGGATCTTAGCAAAAATCTGTTGAAAACCCTGCCATGACCCCACTCTACAATACCCTCCAATCACCTGCCCCATCCTCTCCTTGTGTAACTCACCAAGCATACCCCGTCATGTCCACACCTCATAAGCAAATGTGAACCCTGCATTTCCTCACCACCCACTCACCCAGTCAGCCCACTCCAGTCTGGCTTCTGTGTTCCCAGTTCTATGAAACAACTCCTGCCACAGTCTCACCCATGCCCTCCACTCACCAAACTCAAGGTACAACCTTCAGGTCTCATATGTCTGTCCTCTCAGTGATCCTTCTTTCCTCCCTTGGCTTCCAGATCCCACCCTCTCCTGGATTTCCTCCTGCTCCTTGGGCCATTCTTCCCGCCTCCTTCATCATTCAGCCCTGCCTCTTCTCTCTCCTCCACATTCTCTGGGCCACCTCGCCCATGCCCAAAGCATCAACCCCTTCCTTGCCAGTGACTACCACACTTGTAGCCCCACCCGAATCTCTTCTCCCAAACACACAACGGTCCATGTGACACAGCTACTGGGCCATCTCACAGGCAGCAGACAGACCCTGGGACCTACTCTTCTACGTTTAGACCTCCTCCTAGGTCCCTGGCTCTGTGAATTAACACAGCCAACTGGTCAGAAATGAGGTCCTATTGACCCCTTCTTTCTCTAACTTCCAGAAAACTCCCTGGTCTGTCTATGTTGCTCCATCACCACTACTGCCTGGTAAAACAGCCTCCCTCAACCCAACACATTTTCCAGAGCACTCAGAAAAATTTTTAAATGGAAAGCTAGCCGGGCGTGGTGGCTCACGCCTGTAATCCCAGCACTTTGGGAGGCCAAGGCGGGCGGATCACGAGGTCAGGAGATCGAGACCATCCTGGCTAACACGGTGAAACCCTGTCTCCACTAAAAATACAAAAAAAAAATTAGCCGGGCGTGGTGGTGGGCGCCTGTAGTCCCAGCTACTCGGGAGGCTGAGGCAGGAGAATGGCGTGAACCTGGGAGGCAGAGCTTGCAGTGAGCCGAGACTGTGCCACTGCACTCCAGCCTGGGGGACAGAGCGAGACTCCATCTCAAAAACAAAAACAAGAATCAGAAAGCTAAAGCTGAGGCAAGTAATATACAAGATGAGTCTGGGGCATCTTGCAGTGCCAGAAACTAAGTGCTCAAAAAACAAAACGAGTGTGTGTTAAAGGTACACAGGAGCCAACTGAAAGGGCTCCCAATGGTCAAAGCTGGAACAATCTCAACAACGTAATAAATAACGTTACTGGATTATAACACAAAGTACAAAATAAATACTCATGAGTCTATACAAATATAAAAAAAATGGCTGGTCGGGCACGGTGGCTCACGCTGGTAATCCCACCACTTTGGGAGGCTGAGGCAGGCGGATCACCTGAGGTCAGGAGTTCAAGACCATCCTGGCCAACATGGTGAAACCTCGTCTCTACTAAAAATACAAAAATTAGCTGGGTGTGGTGGCGGGTGCCTGTAATCCCAGCTACTCGAGAGGCTGAGGCAGCAGAATCGCTTGAACCTGGGAAGCGGAGGTTGCAGTGAGCCCAGATTGCGCCACTGGACTCCAGCCTGGATGACAGAGTGAGACTCCATCTCAGAAAAAAAAAAAAAAAAAAAAAAGACTGCATGAATATTTAATGAATAGGGAAGGAGAGACATATCTCCTGTAAGAGATTTCCATATAATTTATGTAAGAACTCTAACTCCCCAACCCTTAAGTGTGGGCTGTGCACAGTGACTTCTTTCCAAAGAAATACGGGAAGAGGGGAAAAAAACAGTCACATTACAGTGGAGAAAGCTGGCAAACAAAACCGCAGCCAGGCGACCAAGGTTAACAACATTAGGGACAAGTGAAGCGGATAACTTGCATATTTGGTATGTTGCATTGAAGATGGAACTTCACTTATTGTCTTCTTCAGTCAGATCCATAACCCCAGTCTAACCATGAGAAAAACATCAACCAAACTCAAATTAAGGGACCTTCTACAAACTACTTGCCCAGGACTCCTCAAAATTGTTAAGGCTGGACACAGTGGCTCACACATGTAATCCCAGCACTTTGGGAGGCTGAGGTGGGTGGATCACCTGAAGTCAAGAGTTCAAGACCAGCCTGGCCAATACGGTGAAACCCCGCCTCTACCAAAAATACAAAAATTAGCCAGGTGTGGTGGTGCACGTCTGTCATCCTAGCTGCTTGGGAGGCTGAAGCAGGAGAATCATTTGAAATCTGAAGGTGGAGGTTGCAGTGAGCTATCGCGCCACTGCACTCCAGCCTTGAGAGCAAGACTGTATCTCAAAAAAAAAAAAAAAAAAGGTTAAGATCATCAAAAGCAAGGAGTCTTAGCTGGGCACAGTGGTGCACACCTGTAGCCCCAGCTACTAGGGAGGCTGAGGCAGGAGGATTGCTTGAGCCCAAGAGTTTGAAGGTGCAGTGAGCACTCCAGCCTGGGTGAGAGTGAGACTCCATCTCTCTTAAAAAAAAAAAAAAAAAAAAAAAAAGGCCGGGCACAGTGGCTCATGCCTGTAATCCCAGCACTTTGGGAAGCCAAGGCAGGAGGATCACAAGGTCAAGAGATTGAGACCATACTGGCCAACATGG
Organism: Homo sapiens; assembly: GCF_000001405.40. NCBI lineage: Eukaryota > Metazoa > Chordata > Mammalia > Primates > Hominidae > Homo > Homo sapiens. Next base: position 3,198,226 of record NC_000020.11, read on the forward strand.
TGAAACCCTCTCTCTACTAAAAATATAAAAATTAGCTGAGCGTGGTGGTGCACCTGTAGTCCCACCTACTCGGGAGAATGAGGCAGGAGAGTCACTTGAACCCAAGAGGCAGAGGTTGCAGTGAGCCGAGATCGTGCCACTGCACTCCAGCCTGGAGACAGAGAGGGACTCTGTCTCAAAAAAAAAAAAAAAAAGCCTGGTGCAGTGGCTCACGCCTGTAATCCCAGCGCTTCGGGAGGCTGAGGTGGGTGGATCACCTGAGGTCGGGAGTTCGAGACCAGCCTGACCAACATAGAGAAACCCCGTCTCTACTAAAAATACAAAATTAGCCGGGCGTGGTGGCACATGCCTGTAATCCCAGCTACTTGGGAGGCTGAGGCAGCAGAATTGCTTGAACCCAGGAGGTGGAGGTTGTGGTGAGCCAAGATGATGCCACTGCACTCCAGCCTAGGCAACAAGAGTGGAACTCCGTTTCAAAAAAAAAAAAAAAAAAACAAAACAGAAATTCTGATAAACTGTCATGACACAGAAGAGCCTAAGGAGACATGACCACTAAATGTAACATGGCATCCTAGATGGGACCCTGGAAAAGAAAAAGGATACTGGGAAAAAACAAATAAAATATGAATAATGGGGTCAGGTGTGGTGGCTCACACCTGTAATCCCAGCACTTTGGGAGGCCAAGGGAAGAGAATTGCTTGAGTCTAGGAATTCAAAAGCAGCCTGGGAAACACGGTGAAACCCAATCTCTACCAAAAAAAAAAAAAAAAAATTAGCCAGGCATGGTGGTGCACACCTATAGTCCCAGCTACTCGCAGGGACGGGGAACTGAAGTGGGAGGATTGCTTGAGGCTGGGAGGCAGAGGTTGCAGTGAGCCAAGATCGTGCCATTGCACTCCAGCCTGGGCAACGGAGCAAGACCCTGTCTTAATCAATCAATAAAGAAAAATCTGAATAATGTTAGAGTTTAGTTAACAATAATGTGTCAATATTAGTTGTGAGGAAGGTATTAAAGTGAGGTAGGACGTTAAGGATAAGGGAAACTGGTTACAGGGGAGAAGAGCCAGGATATTTAAGGTACATTAAGCGGGACCAATATTCAGAAAGGAAAAAACCCTCTCTGCTAATGCCTCCCCCATGCTGTATTCTGGCTTATCAGCCACAGCACCCACATCCAGGCTTCCTGCCATCCAGGATCCTGGGACAACAGGTCAGTCAGAGGTCACAGGTCTTCCCAGCTAGGGCAGCCCTGGCTCTAACCCTATGTACCCCACATCTTTATGGTGTTCTCTTTTTGGGAAACCTGGTTCTCAGAACAAAGAAAGCATCTGGCAAACAAATGTTCATTAGTCACTACTGCAGTGGACCCCATTCCCTGAGCACCTTCTGTATGCCAGGCCCTCGATGTAAGAACCATCTCTTACAATGATCTTCCTCAGCCTCAAGGCCTTCAGGATCCAGACCCCCATCACCTCTCTGCCATCTTCTCCTCCTCTCCTGGCTTTCTCTGCCCAGCTATCCTCCTCGCCTCGCGTTCCTCACATGCTCCCCGAAAGTTCAATAGTCACGTGCACAAAAATCCCCACTCCAGGCTCTGCTTTTCAGCAGTGGCTTTTCTAGGCTGTGGTGGAGCCTAGGGACCAAATAAACCAGGACCTGCCCTTGTGCCAGGTCTATGGCCCACCTTCTAGGTTGGAGGTGCCAGGGAGCTGCATAAGAAGCAAGGCTGCCTTGCCTGGTCAAGGGTCAGAGGTCAGGGTAGGGGCTGGCCTCACCTTCTGCTCCTCCTCCAGGCGAAGCCGCTCCTCCTCCTTCTTCCACTCAGCTTCGCGCTGGGACTCGAGTCGTTTCCGCTCCTCACGTTCAGCCTCCTCTGCCTGGAGAGAGGTCTTCATAGGGGCACATCCCTCACCCCCGGCTAGAGTGTGCCCACCGCCCAGACAGACTAGGGAAGGCAATGCCTGGGCCAGGGCACAGACCCAGGCGGCAGGAGACAGAGCCAGGGAAGCAGCAAACACCAGCCCAGCAGGCAACAAGCCCTCAGTCTGCCTTAGGGAAAAAGGAAGGCAGTGCCCTTTCGCACTTCCCAGAGCTGCACCCCATCCCTCCGGCTTGCCTCACGCTGGGCCTTTCGCGCTTGTTTCTCCTCCAGCTTCCGCAGTTTCTTAGCTCCAATTTTCCCCGACAGGTGAGTTTCCGCTGGCTTCTCGACACCTTCCTCCTCCTGGGCTGGGTATGGTCAAAGAAAGACAGTTCAGGTTCTGACCAGAGAGGACTGATGACGATGGATCCCCAACCCCTCGTCCCTCCCCTAACAGGGGGATCCCCTTCCACCCACCTGCAAATGTCACTAGCCCAGCTCTGCCCTCCAGAGGCATCTGCCATGAGTGCGTGTGTGTGTGTGCATGAATATGTAGGGATGGGAGAACGGTGAGGGGCCCATAGGGCAAGGGAAAAGATGAGAACTTTAGGCCGGGCACGGTGGCTGAAGCCTGTAATCCCAGCACTTTGGGAGGCCGAGGTGGGTGGATCACAAGGTCAGGAGATTGAGACCATCCTGGCAATCATGGTGAAACCCCATCTCTACTAAAAGTACAAAAAAGGGCTGGGCACGGTGGCTCATGCCTGTAATCCCAGAACTTTGGGAGGCAAAGGTGGGCGGATCACGAGGTTAGGAGATCGAGATCATCCTGGCTAACATGGTGAAACCTCATCTCTACTAAAAATACAAAAAATTAGCTGGGTGTGGTGGCGGGCACCTGTAGTCCCAGCTACTCAGGAGGCTGAGGCAGGAGAATAATGTGAACCCAGGAGCCGGAACTTGCAGTGAGCTGAGATCACGCCACTGCACTCCAACCTGGGCGACAGAGTGAGACACTGTCTCAGGGGAAAAAAAAATACAAAAATAATTAGCCGGGCATGGTGGCGGGTGCCTGTAGTCCCAGCTACTCGGGAGGCTGAGGCAGGGGAATGGTGTGAACCCAGGAGGCGGAACTTGCAGTGAGCGGAGATCGCGCCACTGCACTCCATCCAGCCTGGGCGACAGAGCGAGACTCTGTCTCAAAAAAAAAAAAAAAAAAAAAATTAGCCAGGTGTGGTGGTGGCCACCCGTAGCCCCAGCTACTAGGGACGCTGAAGCAGGAGAATGGCATGAACCCAGCAGGCAGAGCTTGCCGAGATCTGCTGCCAAGTGGTGTGAGCCGAGATCACGCCACTGCACTCCAGCCTGAGTGACAGAGCAAGACTCTGTCTCAAAAAAAAAAAAAAAAAGATGAGAACTTTAGATATTGCATAGCCACAAAGAAGGAGGTATCAGATTAAAATATGCAAGTGTCTCGGGGTCACAGATAGCGCTGCCTGGATATTTAAGGTACTGTGGCTGATAAGCCAGAATACAGCATAGGGGAGGCATTAGGAGAGAGGGTTGTTTTTTTTGGTTTTTTTTTTTTTGAGACGGAGTCTCGCTCTGTTGCCCAGGGTGGAGTGCAGTGGCGCGATCTCGGCTCGCTGCAAGCACCACCTCCTGGGTTCACGCCATTCTCCTGCCTCAGCCTTCCGAGTAGCTGGAACTACAGGCGCCAGCCACCATGCCCCCCTGATTTTTTTATTTTTATTTTTAGTAGAGACCGGGTTTCACCATGTTAGCCAGGATGGTCTCAATCTCCTGACCTCGTGATCCACCCGCCTCGGCCTCCCAAAGTGCTGGGATTACAGGCGTGAGCCACCATGCCCAGCCCAGAGAGGGTTTTTTTTGTTTGTTTATTTGTTTTTGGAGACGGAGTCTCGCTCTGTCGCCCAGGCTGGAGTGCAGTGGCGCGATCTCGGCTCACTGCAAGCTCCACCTCCCGGGTTCATGGCATTCTCCTGCCTCAGCCTCCCAAGTAGCTGGAACTACAGGCACATACCATCACGCCCGGCTAATTTTTTGTATTGTTAGCCAGGATGGTCTCGATCTCCTGACCTCGTGATCCACCCTCCTTGGCCTCCCAAAGTGCTGGAATTACAGGTGTGAGCCACCACGCCCGGCCCAGAGAGGGTTTTTTACCTTTCTGAATGCTGGTCTCACCTAATGTACCTTAAATATCCTGGCTAATGAACTCCAGAGTTCTCTGGCTTCTGTCTCTGGTGCCAAACCCCCAGGCAAGGGAAGTCCCATGAGGAAATTTATCCCGCCTCAAATCTGAAATCCTCCTCACAATCGTCAGGAGTTGCTGAGGATTCTGGGCTTAGTCCCTGGCCAGGATTATCCCTTTGCCCATCAAACCCTGGCTGAAATGACAGTCCCAACACTATGACTACCTCAGGGCCAGCTGCAAGTTAAAGACCCACTGATGCCTGTGCAGCAAGGGTCTCTGAACCCAAGTCTGAGCCAGAAGGTACGGCAAAGAAAGGGCCTCTTCTTGAGCTAAAGGGATAATCCCCAAAGGTACAAGGCAAAAGCCTCAAATGCCCCCAGTTTCTGAGAAACGCCCAGACGCCCCCTCCTCAGGCTCAAGCCAGCTGCCAAGTACTGGAGAAGACAATCCTGAGGGCTCTCCTGGTCTCCTGGAAGCAGGGATATGGAGGCCTCTGTGTCAACAGAATGTCTCTATCTTTAAACTGTTTTCCTGGGGTTGTGGGTGACCCCACTCCAGGAACTGCAGAAACTCTTGGCCAGGCACTCTGCCTCTAGGGTGAAATCCTCAGGGAATAAGTGTGCCCATAACAGGAAGGGTGCGAGGATAGAAGGGGTGAATTGAGGAACATTCTGAATCAAACTGAAGACCCTTGCCCTCTGCTTGGACACTGAGAGCCAAGATGAAGGTAGGGGGGGTTGACCCAGTGGAACAAATGCCAGGTCCCAAGTCCCCCCCTACTCTACCGTGTGGCTCCCAGACGTCCCTCCTACCCTGAGGCTTCATACCCTACTCCCCCACTTAGCTTTGGGGGCCCTTTTATCCCCCCCTCCAACCCAAACCCTCTCCCCACCAGGCTGGGCCCCTCTCACCTAGGATGACAGCTTCCTCCTCGTTCTCATCTGCTTCTGCCCAGGCCACCCGCTGGGCTCGACGCTGGGCCTGTAGGCGGCTGCCCAGGTCCCTCCGGCGCCGAGGCCTGCCTCCAGCTCTCGGCTCCTCAGGCTCCAGGGGCCCAGGCTGGGCCACCCGGCCTGCTCCTGCCAGCTCCTCATTGTGCAGTGGCTCTTGGCCGGCTGTAGGGAAGACAGAAATGACAATGCTGCCTATAAGCCCAGCCCGGCCCATGGCAGGAGGAGCGGCAGCCCGGAAGCCTCACCTCCTCTGCTTAGCGGCCTGCTGCCCACAGCACAAGGCCCCGACTTCTCAGTCTGACTGGCAAGGCCTTTTCCACCAGGCCCACAGCTTGGTCCCAGGCGGGGGCTCAGCCCTTCCCTCGGGCCTGTGTGAATACTCCTCTCCCCTCCCGGCTCCACCTTTCCAGCTGGCCTGTCAGGAGGCCCCTATCCTGATGTCCCCAGCTCTCATCGAGTACCCCCTGCAGGAATCCACTGATTTCTCGCCTAACACCACCTGTGGTTTTATCTGGCTCCCCAGCCAGAGAGTACACTTCCCGGCGGTGGCCGAGCCTCCCCCGGGAAGACCTGCTGGATCTCCGCCTTCCCTCAGCGTGTCCCTTCCGCTCCTGGGAGCGCGCAGGTGCTCAGAGGTAGCTTGTGGGCCCAGGGAGCAGGAAAACACATATACAAACCCGCCCGCTGACCAGAAATGGGGGGAAAGAGGGAGGATGGGTGTATCTGTTCTGTGCCCTGGCCAATGACATGGCCTTCTGATCGGGGAGCGGATTGGGGAGGGAGAGTGGGCCCTCTCCTTGGCGGGAAGGGAGAGAGCTTCAGGAATTTCCTGGAGCCGCCTCGCGCTTCTCCAGCTCGTGGGGGACAGGCAGAAAATATTCAGATGCCCCCTTCCTGGCACCTGCTCTGGAGCCAGGCTGGGAGGAATGGAAAACCCCTGCGGCCTCCCTAACAGGTGCAGAGGGAAAGGGCCCCGACGGTGACGGATGGGAGTGTGCGCCGGCCAGGGCCTCAGGCCTTTGGAGGTATGGAGTTCCCGGGGGTGAAGAGAGGGATGAGGCCAGACTCTGGCTTGGAGTCGAGAGAAAGGGGTAGCGGCGCGGCCACCGATTCCAGGTAGGGCACTGCGGAAGCCCCACCCGGCACACGACTAGCGCACGGACGCGCATGCGTCCCGCCCGCCCAGGTGCGCACGCGCAGGAGCCGCGGCGCGACGGTCCACAAAGGCTCAGAAGGCCAGAAAACCCGGTACCACCAACCCTGGTGCAGCGGCATCTCCTACCTGATGCCGCCCGGCCCCGGCTGCGAGTCAGGAAGAGGATAAAGCCGACTAGCAGAGCCGCCGCTACCAAGTACCACACAGGCGCCACCATGACGAGGGCCTCAGTGCAGAACCACTGCGTCCACCCTGAGGCCGGGATCTCATAGGCCCCGCCCCTATTTCCCAATCTAGACTCCGCCCACTACTCGGAGCCCCGCCCAGCGGCACATCACAGAGAGGCTTTAATGTCAGACATTAAAATGAGTTTGGGGGGTGTAAAGAAACCCACAATGTTAAGAGGAAATTATAGCAGACGGTATGTCCAGTAGAAAACATCTATGTATGTTTTTTTTTTTTGAGACGGAGTCTCTGTCGCACAGGCTGGAGTGCGGTGGTGCGATCTCGGCTCACTGCAACCTCCACCTCCCAGGTTCAAGCGATTCTCCTGCCTCAGACTCCCGAGTAGCTGGGATTACAGGCGCCCGCCACCACGCCCGGCTAATTTTTGTATTTTTAGTAGAGATGGGGGTTTCACCGTGTTGGCCAGGCTGGTCTCGAACTCCTGACCTTGTGATCCACCCACCTTGGCCTCCCAAAGTGCTGGGATTACAGGCGTGAGCCACCGCGCCCGGACTATATATGTTTTAAAAATCACTAAACAATCCCACATAGTGTTTATGGAAACAACCGTGGAAAAAGTACGAAAAGAGGCTTGGGACTGATGCACACCAACTTCAGGATAGCGATTACCTCTAGGAGGAGGGAAGCGGGTTGGGGTTTTGCTGTATCTGTGACACTGAATTTCTTTCTTTCTTTCTTTCTTTTGAGGGGAAGGGGAGGGGAGGGGAGGGCAGTACTGGAATTTATTAAGCTTTTTGTATACATGATAACAGAAGTAAAGATTTATTTCAGGAGCCAGGCACAGAGGCTCGTCTGTTAACCCAATACTTTGGGAAGTCTAGGTAGAGGTGAGCCTAGGAGTTCAAGACCAGCCTGGGCAACATGATGAAACCCTGTCTCTACAAAATACAAAAATTAGCCAGGTGTGGTGGCATGCACCTGTGATTCCAGGTACTTGGGAAGATGAGGTGGGAAGATCACCTGAGCCCAGGGAGGTCGAGGCTGCAGTGAGCCATGATCATGCCAGTGCACTCCAGCCTGGGTGATAGAGTGAGACCCTGTCTCAGAAAATAAAAATAAATAAAAATAAATTCAGGACCAATGAACAATGGTGAGAAAGGGATTTGAAAAAATACGGGCCAGATGAGGTGGCTCTCCCCTGTAATCCTAGCACTTTGGGAGGCCGAGGTGGGCGGATCACTTCAGGTCAAGTGTTCAAAACCAGCCTAGCTGACGTGATGAAATCCTGTCTCTACTAAAAATACAAACAATGAGTGGGGCGTGGTGGCACATGCCTGTAATCCCAGCTACTCGGGAGGCTGAGGCAGGAGAATCACTTGAACCCAGGGGGCGGACGTTGCAGTGAGCCAAGATTGCACCACTGCACACCAGCCTGAGCGACAGAGCAAGACTCTGTCTCAAAAAAAAAAAAAAAAGAAAGAAAGAAAGAAAAAGAAAAAGAAAAAATATGGGCTGGGCGAGGTGGCTCACACCTGTAATCCCAGCACTTTGGGAGGCTGAGGTGGGTGGATCACCTGAACTCAGGAGTTTGAGACCAGCCTGACAAACACAGTGAAACCCTGTCTCTACTAAAAATACAAAATTAGCTTGGCGTGGTGGTGGGTGCCTGTAATCCCAGCTACTTGGGAGGCTGAGGCAGGAGAATCTCTCGAAGCCGGGAGGCAGAGGTTGCAGTGAGCCGAGATCACACTATTGCACTCCAGCCTGGGCAACAGAGTGAGACTCAGTCTCAAAAAAAAAAAAAAAAAAAAAAAAGCTGGGCACCGTGGCTCACGCCTACAATCCCAACCAACACTTTGGGAGGTCGAGGTGGGTGGATCACCTGAGGTCGGGAATTTGAGACCAGCCTGACCAACATGGAGAAACCCCATCTCTACTAAAAATACAAAATTAGCCGGGTGTGGTGGCTCATGCCCATAATCCCAGCACTTCGGGAGGCTGAGGCAGGCGGATCACGAGGTCAGGAGATCAAAACCATCCTGGCTAACACGGTGAAACCCCGTCTCTACTAAAAATACAAAAAAATTAGCCAGGCGTGGTGGTGGGCGCCTGTAGTCCCAGCTACTTGGGAGGCTGAGGCAGGAGAATGGTGGGGACCCGGGAGGCGGAGCTTGCAGTGAGCTGAGATCGCGCCACTGCACTCCAGCCTGGGCGACAGAGTGAGACTGTCTCAAAAAAAAAAAAAAAAGAAGAAGAAAGATACAAAAATTAACCAGGCATGGTGGTGCATGCCTGGAGTCCCAGCTACTCAGGAGGCTGAGGTGGGAGAACTGCTCGAACCCAATATGCAGAGGTTGCAGTGAGCCGGGACCACACCACTGTACTTCAGCCTGGGCAACAGAGCAAGACTCCATCTCAAAAAAAATAAATAAATAAAAGAATGAAAAAGAAAGTTATCTATGGACTTGTAATTATAGATGTCAGTTGTGATCTTTTTGTTTGTTGGTTTTTTGAGACAGGGTCTCACTCACATCACCCAGGCTAGAGTACAGTGGCACTCTTGGCTCACTGCAGCCTCGACTTCCCAGGCTCAGGTGATCCTCCCACCTCAGCCTCCTAAACAGCTGTGACTACAGGTGTGTGCCCCCAAGCCCAACTAATTTTTTGTATTTTTTGTAGAGACTGGGTTTCACCATGTTGTCTAGGCTTGTCTTGAACTCCTGGGATCAAGTGATCCACTGTGCCCAAGCTAGTTATCTTACATTACAGAACACCTACTATGTACCAGGAGCTGGGATTTAAGAATGAGAGGTGAGGCTGGGCACCGTGGCTCAAGCCTGTAATCTCAGCACTTTGGGAGGCTGAGGTGGAGGGATCTCCTGAGGTCAGGAGTTTGAGACCAGCCTGGTCAATATGGTGAAACCCCACCTCTACTAAAAGTACAAAAATTCACTGGGTGTGGTGGTGCATGTCTGTAATCCCAGCTACTCAGGAGGCTGAGGCAGGAGAATCCCTTGAACCCGGGAGTCGGAGGTTGAAGTGAGCCGAGATCGTGCCACTGCACTCAAGCCTGGGCGACAAGAGCAAGACTCCATCTCAAAACAACAACAACAACAACAACAAAACACAGTGGCTGATGCCTGTAATCCCAGCACTTAGGGAGGCCGAGGTGGGCATATCACGACGTCAGGAGTTCGAGACCAGCCTGGCCAACATGGTGAAACCCCGTCTCTACTAAAAATGCAGAAATTAGCTGGGCGTCGTGGGGGGTGCTTGTAGTCCCAGCTACTCAGGAGGCTGAGGCAGGAGAATCGCTTCAACCCAGGAGACAGAGGTTGCAGTGAGCCAAGATCATGCCATTGCACTCCAGGCCAGGTGACTAGAGCAAGACTCCGTCTCAAAAAAAAAAAAAAAAAAGAAAAAGAGAGGTGAGCAAAAACAGATATGGTTTTTACCATTAGGATTTTTAGAAGAGAAAACAGAATCACACAAATGAATATCTATTTGCAGTGCAGAGGTCAGTGCTATGCAAGCAGATGAAAGGGAGCTCAGGGAAGGTTTTCCTGAGCTGGGGCTTGAGCTGGCTAAGATCCAAGAAAGGCATCCATGTAAGGTGGGCTGTTTTTCTTCTTTTCAGGCTCCTCGGGGTAACTGATGTCCCCCAAGCCCTCCTCTGCCCCCAAATCCCCATGGCCACTCCTCTAGGGACTCTGCATAATGGTTAGTGTTTCTACTTCAATAAAAGAAAACAGGTCACCACCCAAAGCAGTGGTTCCCACACATTTTTTTTCTTTTTCAGACGCAGTTTTGCTCTTGTTGCCCAGGCTGGAGTCCGATGGCACGATCTCCGCTCACTGCAACCCCCACCTCCCGAATTCAGGCGATTCTCCTGAATCCTGAATTCTCTGAACTGGGATTACAGGCATGCACCACCATGCCCAGCTAATTTTGTACTTTTTGGTAGAGATGGGGTTTCTCCATGTTGGTCAGGCTGGTTTCAAACTCCTGACCTCGGGTGATCCACTCGCCTCAGCCTCCCAAAGTGCTGGGATTACAGGCGTGAGCCACCGGGCTTTCCCACACTTTGATGAGCATCAGAATGGCCTGAGGAGCTTGGTAAGAACTCAGACTCCCTCCCTTTCTTGTCCATGGGCAGAAGTGGCCATTCAAGAGGTACTGACACAGGGGTCCAGGCGGGGGGCAGAGGGCTGAGTCTCTGGAGGAGGGAGGTCAGATGACTTGCTGCAAAGAGAGTATCAGCAGAGGTTCAGCAGACCCACCTTTGAGAGGGCACTTCCTACTTTCTGTTGTGTTTGGAATGCAAAGATCTGGCTGAAACGGTGGCCACGGAGAAGGGGTGATAGATTTGAGAGGCTGGAGGGATGAGGAAGTGAGGAACTCTACATACTGAGCTCTCAAGCCTAGGAGTGAAAACGGGTGAGAAGTTTGGGCTTGTTTTAGGCTATGCCGAGTTTAAGTTCACAGTCGAGTGGATCATAGCTGGCGGGTAAGGCTGAAGGTGAGATCAGGATGAGGGTTTGGAAGCCCTTGCCTAGAAGGAGGCAGTTTTTTGAGACAGCATAGGAGAGCGCAAACCTCCAGGGTCACAGGGCTGCAGTCTTCTCCTTTCGGAGACCCCATTGCAGAGAAGAGCGAAAGCAGGGGCGGGGTGGGGGTGGGAGTGGTCTCTTCCGGTTCTTGAAGATAGCGTCCCTTAGGCAGGAGGGGTGGGTCACTCAGTCTCCAGGCTCGGGAGGCCCCCAGCAAATCGGACGCTGTGGGCTAGGCCGCCACCGCGAGCCCACTCGCCCGATACGCGCCTTGGGGTCCGGGTCGGCTTTCCCCGGGACCCCTGGCCGGAAACTGAGCCGTTCACTTCCGCCACCAGCCGGAAGTTTTCTGTCACTGGACGCCAAGGAGTTTTCGGTGGCTCAGCTGGGTAACCGGGGATCACCATGGCGGCCTCATTGGTGGGGAAGAAGATCGTGTTTGTAACGGGGAACGCCAAGAAGCTGGAGGAGGTGCCGGGAGGGTGTTGGGGGCTAACTGGGAGGCGGCTGGGAATAGGGCGGAGAAGGGGCTTCCGGGAGGAGGGAAGCACGTGGGAGGAGGCATGGAGAGAGAACAGAATTCAGCCCGGAAGAATGGGTCCTGACCCGGCTGTGTGGAAAAGCTGGGGCGCAAGAAGGGAGTGGCTGCAGAATCGGGGCGCCCCGGGGTTGGCGAGGGAACGAGGGTCTCGACAGATCCCGACACAGGGCTTGTGTGGTCAGCGACTGCGGGACCCGGAGGAGTAGCGGGGCTCTTAACAACCGCCCCGAAGGTCACCTATTGAAGTAGACCCCAACCCAGTGTCCCGACACTCTTCTGGGACTTATCCACATCCCGCTGCTGGGCCAGGGCTAGCAGGACCCAGAGAGGGCGTGGGACGGAGTTCCACACTGAGCAGTCCGTGCCTCACCACCGTCCTGAAATGTTCTAACCTCTTTTCGCGTGTGTGAAATGGGGATGATGCAGGACATTTGCTTCACAGCGCTATAGAGAGGAGGAGTAAAGGAGGCAGTGGATCTAAAGTTTCTGTTTGCAGGGACTTTGTGGCTAGCAAGTAACAGAAACACACAGGGAGCTCATGTAAGCCACCAGATGACTCCTGTGGGAATATAGTGTTATCGTGTCCCACAGGACCTGAAGTTCTCTCAAGAAGCTGACTTGTCCTTGTTCTCTCTGGATGCTGATCCCTATTCCTGTTCATATCTTTCCCCTTTCTTCCCTGCTGGGGGATGGAACAATGAGGCTTCTACCAGATATCAGCTCCGACTGGCTTTGCTTGAATCAAGAGTTTGCCCCTGTTCAATCAGCCATAGCCATGGAGTGGGGGTCATGTGTGGGGGATCAGGATGACACCCACTGGATATGTCTGAGGCAGACCAGTGGGGTGTAATCACTAGGGACACCTACATTTGCCTGTAGTGTAGGGAGGGACTGATGTCACTTTGGTGCCAGGACTGAGTGGCCTTCTCAGGAACCAGAGCCTTTTGCCGAAAAAAGGTTTGGGATCCTGAGGCCAGACCAGTCAGGCAGTCCACCCTGAACAGAGCCCATGCAGGACAGTGGGCATGAGACCCCAAACCTCTGGCTGAGAATATTGCCCTCACTTAAAGAAGGAGCTGGAACCCGAGTGCAGTGCCTCACGCCTGTAATCCCAGCACTTTGGGAGGCTGAGGTGGGCAGAACATCTGAGGTCAGGAGTTCAAGACCAGCCTGGCCAACATCATGAAACTTCATCTCTACTAAAAATACAAAAATTAACTGGGCATGGTGACACGTGCCTGTAGTCCCAGCTACTCGGGAGGCTGAGACAGGAGAATCGCTTGAACCTAGGAAGCGGAGGTTACAGTGAGCTGAGATGACGCCACTGTACTCCAGCCTGGGTAAGAGTTGAGTGACAGAGTGAGACTCTGTCTCAAATAAAAAAAAAAAAAGAAGAAGAAGAAGAAGAAGGCACTAGAGTAGCCAAGGGAGACTCCTTGGAGAACATGGACTTGAACACTTGGCCTAGAACAGGTAGTCTTTTTTTTTTTTTCTTTGAGACAGAGTCTCACTCTGTCGCCCAGGCTGGAGTGCAGTGGTGCGATCTCTGCTGACTGCAACCTCCGCCTCCTGGGTTCAAGCAATTCTCCTGCCTCAGCCTCCCGAGTATCTGGGATTGCAGGCATGTATCACCACGCCTGGTTAATTTTTGTATTTTTAGTAGAAACGGGATTTCGTCATGTTGGCCAGACTGGTCTCTAACCCCTGACCTCAAGTGATCCACCCTCCACCCATTTCGGCCTTTCAAAGTGCTAGAATTACAGGCATGAACCACCTAGCCCAGCTGTGTTTTTGTTTTGTTTTGTTTTGTTTGTTTGTTTGTTTAGACAAAGTCTCACTCTGTTGCCCAGGCTGGAGTGCAGTGGCACGATCTCAGCTCACTGCAACCTCCGCCTCCTGGGTTCAAGCAATCCTCATGCCTCAGCCTTCCTGGTAGCTGGGACTACAGGTGTGTGCCACCACACCTAGCTAATTTTTGTATTTTTAGTGGAGATGGGGTTTCTCCATGTTGGTCAGGCTGGTCTCGAACTCCCGACCTCAGGTGATCCGCCCGCCAGGGCCTCCCGAAGTGTTAGATTACATGCGTGAGCCACCGTGCCTGGCCGAACGGGTAGTCTTAACTAGTGGTATGCCATTGGCAGACTGAGGAAACCTATGGAATCTTTCTCAGGAAAATAGTTTCAAATGTACAAAATAAAATACATGGTATTATAGGCTGGGCACTGTGGTTCATACCTGTAATCCCAGCACTTTGGGAGACTGAGGCTCAAGGAGGATCTCTTGAGCCGAGGAGTTCAAGACCAGCCTGGGCAACAAAGTGAGACCCTAGCTCTACAAATAATTAGCCTAAGCATGGTACCTGGGCCACCTGTGGTTCTAGGTACATGGGAGGAGGATCTCTTGGGCCCAGGAGGTTGAGGCTCTAGTGAGCTGTGTTTGTGCCACTGTACTCCAGCCTGGGTGACAGAGAGAGAGACCCTCTCTCAAAAAAAAATAAAATACATAGGATTACAAAGGAAGTCAACTAAAGTGAAGTACAATTATCAAAATGTTACAAATATTTGTGATTTAGTTATATATACTTTATTAATGCATTAAAGGATTCAATCTACCAATGTATGAGTAATTATCTTAATTTTTTTTTTTTTTTGAGACGGAGTCTCACTCTGTCGCCTAAGGCTGGAGTGCAATGGTGCAATCTTGGCTCACTGTAGCCTCAACCTTCTGTGCTCAAGCAATCCTCCTGCCCCAGCCTCTTGAGTAGCTGGAACTTCAGGCACATGCCACTATGCCCAGCTAATTTTTGTATTTTTTGTAAAGATGGGGTTTTGCCATGTTGCTCAAGCTAGTCTCAAACTTCTGGGCTCAAGCAATCTGCCCACCTTGGCCTCCAAAAGTGCTAAGATTACAGGCGTGAGCCACAGGACCCAGCCCCTTAATTTTAAAATATCAAGATAAATGATATTTTGAGATATCTGCAGCAATTGTAATGAGTTATAACAACATCTGTGATTTTAGTAGGGTTAAAAGTCACAGGCACTGCTAGTAATATTTTGGTTTGTTACCTATATTCATAATTGAAAAAGTTACTACATTTCAATTAAGGGTTACTAAGAATAAAGTTTTTTTTCCCAATCCATGTTCATAGGCCTTCTGAATTCTGGGTATCTTCTGTTAGAGAATTCCTGGTCTAGGAGGATGGCTAGGGTTTCTGGGAGCATTGAGAAGAGAAGAGTGTGTTCTGGATGGGGGCTTAGCACAAGCAGAGACCTGACGTAGAAGAGATAGAGAAGCAAGGAGATGGAAGGGGCTGGCTTGCTGGGGTGGGACCCTGAAAGCCGGGGTGAGGCCCACAGGCCTGAGTTGGTAAGCTTTAGGAGATGGGCAGCAGAGTTATCGATGAGAAAGGCGGATGACAGCTCACGTGCTCACATGGAGAATCACTAGATGGTGATAAGTGTTCTCTTTTCTCTTGGAACAGGTCGTTCAGATTCTAGGAGATAAGTTTCCATGCACTTTGGTGGCACAGAAAATTGACCGTATGTCTCTGTTTTGTTTTATTTTTAAAAGATGGTTGGATTTCTCTGTCTTCCTGTGACCTGACTTTCTGTGTGTCTGTTTCCCTGATAAGTGCCGGAGTACCAGGGGGAGCCGGATGAGATTTCCATACAGAAATGTCAGGAGGCAGTTCGCCAGGTGCTTGCCCTGCCCTTGTCCCACACTTGCTCTTCTTGTCCAGGTAGCTTCCAGGGCCTGCGCCTGCTAGAAACAATAGAGTAGACACAGTTTGTTGAGCTTTCTAGGACCGGCCCAGAGTCCTCTAGGGTTCAGTTAATATTGGCTTTGGAACACTGCCTTCCTTTGCCAGCCTTGAATACATGGTATCTCCCCCAGACCACCACCATACACTCCCACGTACACACAGACTCCCCTTCCCCCAAATGCTCAGACAATGGATTCCAGCCCTACATCCTCCCCACACACATCCACCGCTGCATTCACACATGTTCGTGGAACTGAGAAAGCACGCTGCGGAGAGTCAGGCTGAGTGTGAATCCCAGCTCTCCCATTGCTGTGCCTGGAGCAAGCTTTAACAATCGGCCAAAGCTTGGTGTCCTCATAAGATAAGAGATTGGCCAAAGTTAAGAGATTGGCCGAGGGCAGCTCCCATGGTGCTGTCTGCCACAGATCTCAGCTAGCTGAGGGCTGGCCCCAGCCTGGGTGACGCGGGTGACCTGGACGTTCCAGGTGGGGATGGTGATCATGGGTCTCAGGGCTGTATGTCTTTGTGCTGCAGGTACAGGGGCCCGTGCTGGTTGAGGACACTTGTCTGTGCTTCAATGCCCTTGGAGGGCTCCCCGGCCCCTACATGTGAGTGACTACCTCCACCCCCTTACAGGGCGTCAGGCCCAAAACCACCAGAACTGCAAAATGATGAGGTACCTGATACTGCAGGTCATTCCCTGTCTTAGCATCAACAGCCTTTCACGTTGTCCCGAGGAAAGACGGGATAGGAGAAGCATGCCTTTCTTTTGTAAAGTGTGAGAATGCGACCTGTAAGTGGAGATGGTAAAGGGGACCCCACGCATTTGAGAAGTACATTCATAGGTAGATTAATTTCAGGAAAGAGAAAACAAGGAAGTTGGAATCTAAAACTTGATTTCTTTCTTCCTTTCTTTTTTTTTTTTTTTTTTTTGATACAGTCTCTCTCTGTTACCCAGACGGCTGGAGTGCAGTGGCATGATCATAGCTCACTGCAGTCTCCACCTGCCAGGCTCAGGTGATCTTCCCACCTCAGCCTCCTGGGTAACTGGGACTACAGGTGTGCGTCACCACACCCAGCTAATTTTTTGTATTTATTTATTTATTTTTAATTTTTTAATTATTTTATTTTATTTTATTTTATTTTGAGACAAGAGTCTCGCTCTGTCGCCCAGGCTGGAGTGCAGTGGCGCGATCTCCGCTAACTGCAAGCTCTGCCTCCCGGGTTCACGCCATTCTCCTGTCTCAGCCTCCCGAGTAGCTGGGACTACAGGCGCCCACCACCACACCTGGCTAATTTTTTGTATTTTTAGTAGAGACGGGGTTTCACCATGTTAGCCAGGATCGTCTCCATCTCCTGACCTCGTGATCTGCCCTTCTTGGCCTCCCAAAGTGCTGGGATTAGAGGCATGAGCCACCGCGCCCGGCCTGTATTTATTTATTTTTGGTGTGTGAGACAGGGTCTCAGTCTGTCGCTGAGGTAGGAGTGCAGTGGTGTGATCACAGCTCACTCCCTGGGCTCAAGCTATCCACCTGCCTCAGCCTCCCAAGTAGCTGGGACTGCAGGCACATGCCTAGCCAGTTTTTTTGCATTTTTTGTAGAGATAGGATTTTGCTACGTTGTCCAAGCTTTTCTCAAACTCCTGAGCTCAAGCGATCCGCCTGCCTTAGCCTCCCAAAGTGCTGGGATTATAGGCGGGACCCACCTCGCCTGGCTCTTGGAGGCATTCTTTTTCATTTCCCCTTGGCTGTCAATAGGGAACAGCCTGGAAAAGGTGGTAAGAAGATCCAGCTGCTCCTGGTGTCTGACTGTCCTTTCTTTCTCTTGCAGAAAGTGGTTTCTGGAGAAGTTAAAGCCTGAAGGTATTATCTGCTTTGTTTCTTCCCTGGATCTGTTGGGAATGAGAATCTGGGCTTTGTCTAGGGGAGGGACCCCAACTAGTAATCAGGAGTCCCAGGTTCTAGCCCCCACCATGGAGCCTCCACCTCATTTTCCCCATCTAGCACCTGCAGCTCGTACCCTGTACTCCAGAGAGCACTGTGTGGGGGAGGGATGATGGGAGCTGCAGGGTTGAGGAACAAAGGGGCTGTACTTAATTCTGGGTTTCAAGAGGAACTTGGCCCTTGTGACTGCCTTAGCCAGGGCCTGCCCTGGGAGTTGGAGGACTGCCCCTCCTGGACCCCAGCAGTGCATATCCTGTCACCCACAGTTGCAAGCCAAAATGTCCCCTCTTTATGTGCTTTTATTTATTTAGAGACAGGGTCTCACTCTGTTGCCCAGGCTGGAGTACACCGGTGTGATCTCGACTCACTGCAACCTCTGCCTCTTGGGTTCAAGCGATTCTCCTGCCTTAGCCTTCCAAGTAGCTGGGATTACAGGCGCCCACCACCACGCCCTGCTAATTTTTGTATTTTTAGTAGAGAGGGGGTTTCACCATGTTGGCCAGGCCAGTCTCGAACACCTGACCTCAAGTGATCCGCCTACCTTGGCCTCCCAGAGTGCTGGGATTACAGATGTGAGTCACAACACCCAGCCTATTTGTTTACTTATTTATATTTTTGAGATGGAGTCTCACTGTCGCCCAGGCTGGGGTGCAGTGCGTCAATCTCGGCTCACTGCAACCTCTGCCTCCCTGGTTCAAGCGATCCTCCTGCCTCAGCCTCCCAAGCAACTGGGATTACAGGCATGCGCCAGCACGCTGGCTAAGTTTTTTTTTTTTTTTTTTTTGAGACAAAGTCTTGCTCTGTCGCCCAGGCTGGAGTGCAGTGGCATGATCTCGGCTCACTCCAACCTCCACTTCCCGGATTCAAGCGATTCTCCTGCCTCAGCCTCCTGAGTAGCTGGGACTACAGGCACGTGCCACCATGCCCAGCTAATTTTTGTATTTTTAGTAGCGTTGGGATTTCACCATGTAGGCCAGGATGGTCTCAATCTTCTGACCTCGTGATCTGCCTGCCTCGGCCTCCCAAAGTGCTGGGATTACAGGTGTGAGTTACCATGCCTGGCCTTTTTTTTTTTTTTGTGACAAGTTTCACTCTTGTTGCCCAGGCTGGAGCGCAATGGCACGATCTCGGCTCACTACAACCTCCGCCTCCCGGGTTCAAGTGATTCTCCTGCCTCAGCCTCCCTAGTAGCTGGGATTACAGGCACCTGCCACCATGACCAGCTAATTTTTTGTATTTTTTGTAGAGGGGTTTCACTATATTGGCCAGGCTGGTCTCGAACTCCTGACCTCAGGCGATCCACCCATCGCAGCCTCCCAAAGTGCTGGGTTTACAGGCGTGATCCACTGAGCCCGGCTTAATTTTTGTATTTTTAGTAGACACGGAGTTTCGCCATGTTGGCCAGGCTAGTTTCAAACACCTGACCTCAGGTGGTCCCACCTCGGCCTCCCAAAGTGCTGGGATTACGGGCATGAGCCACCACTCCCAGCCTATTTTATTTTTTTGAGACAGAACCTCACTCCATCGCCCAGGCTAGAGTGCAGTGGTGTGATCTTGGCTCACTGCAACCTCTGCCTCCTGAGTTCAAGTGATTCTCCTGCCTCAGCCTCCCAAGTAGCTGGGATTACAGGTGCCCACCACCACGCCTAGCTAATTTTTGTATTTTTAGTAGAGACAGGGTTTCACCACGTTGGCCATGCTGATCTCGAATTCCTAACCTCAGGTGATCCACCCACCTCGGCCTTCCAAAATGCTGAGATTACAGGCATGAGTTACCGCACCCATCCTTATGTGCTTTTAAAAACACTTTACATTATAGAGCATTTCAAACCTGCATAGTAGAATATCATAATAGGATAATGGGCATAAATATATACAGTTATTATTTGTCAATTAAAAAAAGCATAGTAGAATAATGAACCTCAGTTGCCATCAACCAGCTTCCAGGGTTATCAGCACGAGGCCTATTTTGTGACATCTGTAACCCCCCTTATTTTTCCTCAGTCCAGTATTTTAAGGCAAATCACAGACATCATATCATCAGTAAGTTCTTCAGCTTGTATTTATTTTTATTTTTATTTGTTTTAATTTTTTTTGGAGACAAGGGTCTCCCTGTGTTGCCCAGGCTGGAGTGCAGTGGCTCAATCTCGGCTCACTGCCCACCATCAGGGCTCAAGCCATCCTCCCACCTTAGCCTCCTGAGGAGCTGGGACTACAGGTGTAAGCCACCATGCCTAGCTAATTTTTGTGTTTTTTGTAGAGGTGAGGTCTTGCTATGTTGCTGGGGCTGATATCAAACTCCTGAGCTCAAGCAACCCACCCGCCTTGGCCTCCCAAAGTGTTGGGATTACAGGTATGAGCCACCGAGTGCAGCCACTGTATTTCTAAAAGGTGAAAAATTTAAAAACTGTTAAACAAGTAAACTATAATCATTTTAAAATACTACATAATCATTTTTTGGATTTCCTTGGTTGTAGAAAAAGTGCCTATTACAGTTGGTTAGTTTTTGTGGGTTTTTTTTTGTTTTTGTTTTTTCTTTCCTGAGATGGAGTCTCGCTCTGTCGCCCAGGCTGGAGTGCAGTGGCCCGATCTCGGCTCACTGCAAGCTCCGCCTCCCTTGTTCACACCATTCTCCTGCCTCAGCCTCCCGAGCAGCTGGAGCTACAGGCATCAGCCACCACGCCCGGCTAATTTTTTTGTATTTTTAGTAGAGACGGGGTTTCACCGTGTTAGCCAGGATGGTCTCGATCTCCTGACCTCATAATCTGCCCGACCCGGCCTCCCAAAGTGCTGGGATTACTGGCATGAGCCACCACGCCCGGCCTACAGTTGGTTAGTTTTGAATCAGGAAATCAAACAAGGTCCACACTGCATTGGCTAGTTTTCTGACTTTAAATAAAGCCTTGTATCGTCAGCCTGTGCCAGAGGGAAGCGAGAATGCCCAGAGACTTCCATTTCAAGCCTAGTCCCACTGCCTTGGGCTCTGCCGCCCCCGCTACCCCAATTGAGACCTAATTTCCCCTTTTAGGGAATTCCTCCCTCCCCACCCTTAGTGGGCGTCTTGGGAGTGGGGGTGGGAGTTGGCCATTAGGGATGCACTGAGCCCTCACTGCCCACCCGCAGGTCTCCACCAGCTCCTGGCCGGGTTCGAGGACAAGTCAGCCTATGCGCTCTGCACGTTTGCACTCAGCACCGGGGACCCAAGCCAGCCCGTGCGCCTGTTCAGGGGCCGGACCTCGGTGCGTACCCACCTTGATGCAGTTCCCGCCGCGCGCCGCCAGGGGGTGCCGCGACCCGAGCCGACCGCCCCGAGTCTGCGGGAGGGTGGTGGGAGGGGCGCCTTGGGGCCAGAGATATCTGTGCCTTGCTGAGAGGCTCCCCTGCGCAGCATAGGTAGAAGTGCTGTGGATCCTAGGAGGGTGGTGGAAAGGGTTCCCTGGGGCCAGAGTAGTTGCCTACGCCTTGCTGAGGGGTGCCCCTGGGCAGGACAATGGAAGTGTTGTCAATTCTGAAACCTGTTTGACCCCTGAGGCTGTTGTTTCAGGGAAACAGTTGGCTAACAGCTCCTGAGGCCTGATAGACCCAGAAGTGCAAACTGAAGGTGACAATTCCCAAAGCTATTTTTTTCTGTTTATTTTATTTATTTATTTATTTTTTGTTAGTGAGAAACCACACTTGGATCAAAGCTACATCTATAGCCCAGACTTCTCTAACCTCAGATTTCCTTATTCAACTGCCAAGGTGCTTGACTATCTCTCAGCCTTTCCAGCTTTTCATGTTTATGTATAATAGAATCTTAATTCTTTTTTTTTTTTTTTTTTTTTTTTTTTTGAGACAAAGTCTTGCTGTGTTGCCCAGGCTGGAGTGCAGTGGTGTCGTCTCGGCTCACTGCAACCTCCGCCTCCAGGGTTCAAGCATAGAATGTTAATTCTTGGCCAGGTTTGGTGATTTACACCTGTAATCCTAGCACTTTGCGAGGCCCCAGCGGGAGGCTTTCTTGAGCCCAGGTGTTCAAGATCAGCCTGGACACCATAACAAGACCCCATCTTTGCAAAAAATTTTAAAATGAGGCCGGGCGTGATGGCTCACATCTGTAATCCCAGCACTTTGGGAGGCTGAGGCGGGCGGATCACCTGAGGTCAGGAGTTCAAGAACAGCCTGGATAACACAGCAAAACCCCGTCTCAACTAAAAATACAAAAAATATCTGGGCATGGTGGCAGGCACCTGTAATCCCAGCTACTGGGGAGGCTGAGGCAGGAGAATCACTTGAACCCAGGAGGCGGAGGTTGCAGTGAGCTGAGATCTCGCCACTGCACTCCAGCCTGGGCAACAAGAGTGAGACTCCGTCTCCAAAAAAAAAAAAAAAAGAGGCTGAGCACAGAGGCTCACACATGTAATCCCAGCACTTTGTGAAGCAAAGGCAGGAGGATTGCTTGAGGCCAGGAGTTTGAGACCAGCCTGGGTAACATAGCCAGACCCTGTCTCAAAAATAAATAAATAGCCGGACATGGTGGTGCACACCTGTAGTCCTAGCTACTTGGGAGGCTGAGGTGGGAGGATCACCTGAGCCTCGGAGTTTGACGGGACAGTGAGCTATGATCGCACTCCTGCACTCCAGCCATGGAGTGACGGAGTGAGACCCAGTCTCAAAAAAAAAAAAAAAAAAACAAACCTTAATTATTTGCCCAAACTTATTCCTTCCGTGAGATGTATTCAACACCCCCTACTGCCTATCACTGCTCACGACAGCCTCCACCTCCCAGGCTCAGGTGATCTCCCACCCTGGAGAGTAACTGGGACTACAGGCGTGCACCACCACACCCGGCTAATTTTTGTATTTTTGGTAGAGACAGGGTTTCACTATGTTGCCCAGGCTGGTCTTGAACTCCCGACCTTAAGTGATCCGCTGGCCTCATTCTCCCAAAGTGCAACCTCCATCTCCTGGGTTCAAGCAATTCTCCTGCCTCAGCCTGCCGAGTAGCTGGGATTATAGGCGTGAGCAAAAAACATTTGTTGCGTGGTTGAGGTTCAGTAACTGGCCTTAGTCACGCAGCTCCTCACGGCAGAAGCAGAATTTGCCTTTGGGTCTAAATTACTTGGCATCTATGTGACTAATCCCAATCATGTACCACCTCCGTTGTATTTTTTAAAGAGTAAAAAAAAATGTTTTTGAGACAGGGTCTTGCTTTGTCACCCAGGCTGGAGTGTAGTGGCATGACTACCGTTCATAGCAGCCTTGATCTCTCAGGCTCAAGTCATCCTCCCACCTCAGCCTTCCGAGTAGCTAGGACCTCAGGTGTGAGCTACCACATCTGGCTAATTAAAAAAAAAAAAAAAATTGGTAGAGATAGAGTCTGACTGTGTTGCCCAGACTGGTCTCGAACTCCTGGGTTTAAACCATCCTCCCTCCTCGGCCTCCCCAAGCGCTGAGATTACAGGCGTGAGCTACCACACCTGGTCCCTTGTATTTTTTTCAGTTAGAATCTTTTGGGTTTTTTTGTTTGTTTTTTGGAGTGTTTGTTTGTTTGTTTGGAGTGTTTGTCTCTGTCTGTCGCCCGGACTGGATCACAGCTCACTGCAGCCTCGACCTCTTGGGCTCAAGCAGTCTTCCCACCAGGTAGCTGGGACTACAGGCTTACACCACCAGGCTAGGCTAATTTTTGTATTTTTTGTAGAGATGGGGTTTCGCCTTTGCCACGTGGCTCAGGCTGGTCTCAATTTCCTGGGCTCAAGTGATCTTCCCACCTCAGCCTCCCAAAGTCCTGGGATTACAGGCATGAGCCACCGCGCCTGGCCAGATTTTCTTTTTCTTTTCTTTCTTTTTTTTTTTTACTTTGATAACAACATGACATTTCATGTCACTGGATTACAATTTGTTCTTTTTCTAACATTTTCACTGTGGAATTTCCCTACTACAGCCAGTACGTATTGTACTCACTAATGTGTTCATGAAGTGGGGAGTTGGGTACCTGCTTCCTGTTGCGGTGTTTCATCTTATTGTTAAAGTCTTCCTTGTATTTTCAGGAACGCTGTCATAGTAGCCGGCATCTGGCTTGTCCACGGAGTTCAGGGTACTTAGCTTCCTATTAGGAGAAAACGTTTTCTGTCTATCTTTCTTTCTGTCTATCTTTCAAAGTAGCCTCATTGTTCTTCAGTGATGTCCCAATTTGTCCCGGGTGTGGCTGGCGAGGGCGCGTGGCCCCGGAGGTGCTGGTGGTCCTGTGGGTCCATGCCTCCTCCCTGTGTGTGAGGGAAGAGCTGCCCCGCTCTGCTTTTTATTGTATTCAGCAAACATTTGCAGGTGCTGTAGGGGCCTTGCAACTACATTTTGCGTAAGTTGGGTCAAATCAAATTCACAGACTCACCAAACTCATACTGGCCACTGCCCTCCTCGTGCTTGTCCTCTGGACCCAGTTACACACCTGTCCCCCCTTTCCTGTGGCAGGGCCGGATCGTGGCACCCAGAGGCTGCCAGGACTTTGGCTGGGACCCCTGCTTTCAGCCTGATGGATATGAGCAGACGTAAGGAGCCCTGCTTTTCTTCCCTGGGGTGTGGGGTTGGTACAGCCATGGTTTGGGTTGGGCCAGTGCCCCGCCCAAGTGCAGGCATGCGGATATGGGCAGGGGAGGCTCCCAGGGTGCTGTTCCAGCCACAGGCAGCTCTGCTGGGGTGGACACTAGGAATCTGGGTGGCCCAGTCCATGGTTGGGGAGGCAGCCAGATGGCACTGAGAGTCCTGGGCTCTAAGGCTCCAGGTCACCCCACATCAGCTGTGTAGCCAGTGGTTTCGCCTTTCTGGCCTTGGCTTGTAAGCTGTACATCTGACTTTTTTTTTTTTTTTTTTGAGATGGAGTTTCACTCTTGTTGCCCAGGCTGGAGTGCAACGGCGTGATCTCAACTCACTGCACCCTCTGCCTCCCAGGTTCAAGCAATTCTCCTGTCTCAGCTGAGATTACAGGCACGCACCACCGTGCTCAGCTAATTTTTGTTATTTTTGTTAGAGACGGGGTTTCACCATGTTGGCCAGGCTGGTCTCAAACTGACCTCAGGTGATCCGCCCACCTCGGCCTCCCAAAGTGCTGGGATTACAGGCGTGAGCCACCGCGCCTGGCCACATCTGACAGTTTTATGGCATCATTTTCTGACCCCCATCTAGGTTGGGAAAATGTCCAGGCTTTTGCAGCCTCTGGTGGGCACTATTTTATGCCCTCCAAGTACCAGTTGTTCTCTGTAGTTCGCACAAATCGCCCCTTGTTCACACAAGGCACGGGCCATTGTTGGAATCAGGCTTTCCAAGCTGGAGGGGCCCTTAGGGAGCGCAGTGTGAGGCCCCACAATAGCCCCAGCAGGGGTGAGGACATTGTGGAACCAGCCACTAGCCATATGGGGCTGTGGAGCACTTGCGTGTGGTGAGACCCAGAAACGGAATATTTCTGTTCAGCGTTAATTCATTTAAATAGCCACACCTGGCTAGTGGCTACTGGCCGCCGTCTTGCACAGAGCAGTCTGCAGGCCACGGGCGGGGTATGGGATTCTCACCTCACTGCGGTGCTGGCATGGAGGTCGGGCCCCTGGCCAGCTGTTCAAGTGCTCCCCCGCCCTCAGCGCATGAGAGGAGACTGCTGTGTTTGCTCTGTCAGGCCCCACTGCTTCCTGTCAACAGATGACAAAGCTGATCAAACATGCAGCTCATCCCCCCCTGTCCCCAGCTTCCCTTAATGACTTTTGGGCACACTAGAGCAAGTTTAATACCCCTCCATGCTCATTCATGGGGGTTTCTGCCTACAGGGGAATTGAAAACTTTATCCGATTTTTAAAAATTCACTGGCTGCCAGGAGCTGCTGGGCCCCACTCCCCTTTCCTTGGGGTCTGTGAGCTTTGGTCTCCAGGGATGAGATGAGGTAGGGTTGGGAGGGGGTGCACTTCCTTCCTGAATCTGGGCTCCCTGAGCTGCTACTGTCACCCCTCAGGTACGCAGAGATGCCTAAGGCGGAGAAGAACGCTGTCTCCCATCGCTTCCGGGCCCTGCTGGAGCTGCAGGAGTACTTTGGCAGTTTGGCAGCTTGACTTCTGCAGCTGGAGGAGGCCCCTCAGGCCGGGGATCTGGGGAGGGCTAGCCCAAAACCTCCCGCATCGGGCAGGCACCCCCTGAAGTACTTCCTTCAGGGTTTCCCCTTTGTGAGGGTGTCGAGTAGCCTCACCGGCCTGTCTGGAGGAGCAGCTGGCTCTGCTCTGAGAAACTCTGGCAAGTGGACGCCATTCTCTTGCCCTTAGGATTCACTGCTCTCTCCTACAGCCGCCAGGCCTGGGGTCCTGAAAGGACCTTGGGTGGTAAAGCTGTACTTGGTGGGAGTGAGGGCGTGGGGAGGAACCATGCAAATCGCCTTCCATGGTTTTTAAATGCAGTAAATAACATTTCTGGATGAGACTTGTTTCCAAAATAAACCAGCTATATCTGTTTTGAACCCTGCCCCAGGCAGGTGTCTGTCTCAGTCTCCTTTGGCAGGTGCAGGAAGTTTTTTGGGTGGGGGTGGGGATGGGGACACGGGCAGCACCGTGTGGAAGGCATTCGGATGCCACTGTGAGCTGGAGTGTTACGTCTCCACTCGAGTTCTTGCCTCATTCAATGGCATGGATTGCGGGCTGACCTCCACCCTGGATCCATGCTGCCCCCCACCCGCAGGTAGTGCCAGGGCCTCCATGAAGCCTTGCTGGGTTGGGGGCTGGGTAGTGTGGCACGCCCAGTGCTTTTGCCTTATGCTGTTACACATCAGAGCCGCGAAAATGTTGGTTTACAATTACAATGGCCAGTTCATTTTTATGGTGGGGAGGGGCTGGAGTCCTCGACCCCACTCGGCGTGATCGCCACAGTTCAGCCTGCGGGCTGCAGGCCCCTCGGGAGGCCCTGCTTATGCCACACGCCCTTACTCTGTGCCCTGGCGAAGCCATTCCCTGGAAGGGACCTCTCCAGGTGGCTCCGTTGTCAGAGTGCTCAACCCCAAGGATATTCAAGGGGGGCGTGATGGGCTCAGGCTGGTGGGGCACCCCCAGGCTTGCTTCTGTGCCCACAGGCAGCTCTGGAGAGGCCCCTGCCGTCCCTGTGACTCCATCCAGCAGGACGGCCCTGGGTGAGGACAGAGTGTCATTCCTTCACTCCCCTCTTGCCTGCAAGCCCCGGCTGGGTTAAATCCCCAGGAGGTGCTGCGTCCCTGCCCAGCCTCCTGAGCCTCCTTGTGGGTGGGAGATGTCTGGCTGGGCCTCAGACATGGGGTGCTGGGGGCCTGCCTGCTCCTTGCCAGTTGATCATGGATGTAGCCCCCCTGTGCAGGGAACACCCAGGCTACTGATGGGGGACTCCAAAGAAGAATCACATGCTGCCTGGGTGGGGTGGGTACATAGGCTTGGGGCAGGGCACCTCTCTGTGTTTCCTGTTCAGCTCCTCCAGAATTTTGTCCTGGGTGCACACAACACTTTCTGGCCATTTTTTTTACTTTAGCTACCTGTGATACTGTGAAGTATATATCTGGTTCCAGGCAAGGTGG
This sequence comes from Homo sapiens, assembly GCF_000001405.40. NCBI lineage: Eukaryota > Metazoa > Chordata > Mammalia > Primates > Hominidae > Homo > Homo sapiens. Next base: position 3,224,938 of record NC_000020.11, read on the forward strand.
CTCACACCTGTAATCCCAGCACTTTGGAAGGCCAAGGTGGGAGGATCGCTTGAGCCCAGGACTTCATAACCAGCCTGTGCAACATGGCAAAACCTTGTCTCTGCAAAAATACAAATATTTGCTGGGCATGGTGGTGCGTGCCTGTGGACACAGCTACTCAGGATTCCGAGGTGGGAGGATCCCGAGCCTAGGGAAATGGAGGCTGCAGTGAGCCGTGATTGCGCCACTGCACTCCAGCCTGGGCAACAGTGTGAGACCCTGTCTCATTAAAAAAAACATGTGTATTTGGTCTTTGACCCCTTTCCTAGCAAACAACTTTAAAATCCTCAGAAACTCCACACTGATGTCTTTTTGTGTGCTAATGAGGTGGCTGGCAGCATCTAGGTAGCTTGGTTATGGAAAGACCAAGACAGGACTAGAGGACTGGGACTTTCGGTCTCCACCCCCCGCCACACCTCCAGGGAGGGGCAGGGCTGAAGGTTCAGTTGATAACCAGTGGCCAGTGGTTTATTCAATCATGCCTGCATAATGAGACCTCCATAAAAACCCAAAAGGCCAGGGTTTGGGGAGCTTCTGAATAGCCGACCATGTGGGGGTTCCTGGAGGGTGACACCCCGGGGAGGGCACACAAGCTCTGTGCCCCTTCCCCCACACCTCGCCCCGTGCATCTCTTCATCTGAATTCTCCGTAATAGCCTTTTTAGTAAGCCAGTAGGGTGGGGCTGAGGCCCTGGGCCCATTCAGCTCTTATTCATCACTGGGAACTCCATCAATGCCCAACCCTTAAAAAATAAAAAAATAAAAAATTTAGGCTGGGCTTGGTGGCTCATGCCTGTAATCCCAGCACTTTGGGAGGCCAAGGCAGGCAGATCACTTGAGGTCAGGAGTTCAAGACCAGCCTGGCCAACATGGTGAAACCCCGTCTCTACTAAAAATACAAAAATTAGCCAGGCATAGTGGCAGGCACCTATAATCCCAGCTATTTGGGAGGCTGGGGCATGAGAATCGCTTGAGCCCAGGAGGCGGAGGTTGCAGTGAGCCGAGATCACGCCCTTGCACACTGAGAGTGAGACGCTGTCTCAACAACAACAAAATTATTAAAACCTGCTAAATATAAGTAAATGTTTCCCTGACTTGTGAACCACTCTAGCAAATTAATTGAACCTAAAAGAGGAGTCGTGGGAACCCCAAGTTGAAGACAGTGTGTCAAGTTCTGCAGGCCCAGACCTCAGACTGGTGGGAAGTTAGGGGTGGTCTCGTGGGACTGAGCCCTCAACTTGGGGTTTCTGAAGCTACCTCCTGGCAGGCAGCAGTTAGGTTGAATTGAATTGAATTGGTGGGCACCCAGCAGCTGTCCCGTGACAAATCCCTCGCGTGGTCACAGAAGTCTTCTGGGTTGACTGTTGTGCACAGTGAGAGCGGAGGAAAACGTTTTGAGTTGGTTTCTCCACACTCGCTACCCGTCCCCAGACAGCAGGGTGGAGAGCATGCTCATACCCACCTGGATTGGTTCTCGGGGCCCTGGGGGCTCCTGATCTCCCACTCAGCACCAGGCTACCCAGTGTAAGGTGGCGTCTCATGTGGGCTTACGTTTCTCTAATTACCAAGGGGTCTGAGCACCTCTCGCTACTCCTGTTACGGTTGGGCCTCCTTCTTCCCCTGTTCACGGCCTCTGCCTCTTCTGTTGGGGCTGCTGTCCTTTGCTGGTTTGCAGGAATTCTTTGCATATTTCAGATATATTTTCAGTTTTAGATGCAGCCAATCTCTTCTGTCGGCCAACTTAGTCCATGGGGCATGTGTCAAGCCAGTCCAGGAGGTGATGTGAGCCCCAGGTGTTCCTGCTGACCACTGATGCTGCGCACCCGGCACTCCCCTGAGCCTCAGAGCCATATTCCCTGTTGTCGGCTGCCATTGGGAGACCCTGACCCACCAACAAATGAGCAAGCCAGAAACACTGCACCTTCTCCCTCCGTCAAACCATTCCCACCCCGTGTCCTGCCGTCGGCAGTCCTCCCACCTCCCTCCATCGCCACCAGTGCTGCCCCTGCCCTGTAAAATCCAGGATCCGCACAACAGATGGGATGGTTCACAAGTGCTCCACACGAAGCCTCGGCCTCCCGGCAGGCAGCTTTCATCTGAGAGTCACAGGGCCCTTTGCTGTCACCCTGATGGTCCCTCCCGCCCCACTGCTCTTCACCAGCCACAGCGCCTCAGTGGCCCCAAGCCCTCGCTCCTCTGGACCCTTGCACATGCTGTTCCCAGAACGCTTTCCCTGCAGGTCCCTGGAGAAATGGCCATGCGAAGGCCTCCTGGATCTTCCATGTTTCACTGTTGGGCCAGCACCCACTGTGCGACGTTGGAGGTGACAGACCACAGGTGGCACTCCACAAACTCTGTCCCTTGCATTCCACTTCCCCAGGGAGGGCTTCCCCTCCCCAGAGTGGGGGTGGAGTGGCAGTAGCAGGGACACAGGTGGCACATAGGAGCCTAGAAACAGGAGCTTTATTCTCTAATGTGCGTCCAGCAAGTTCCTTACACAATCAAGGAAATGGTTTCTCTTTCAGGCATCGACTCTTTTATCAAAAGAAAATCCATCCTGCTCAGTCCCACCCACCCTGGGCAGAAGCTGCCCTGAGCAACGCTCTTGGCCTAAAGCTAAAGGATAATGGGAGAGGGGTGGGCACATACCACTGCACCCCTACAATGCCCAGATGCCCCAGGCCTGAGTCAGCCATGAGAAGGCGCAGCACAGAGCAGTCACCCACACACCTACACCTCCCCTCACAGCTCCAGAGCCAGCCTGGGAGGACGTGGAGGGCTGGCGAATGGGGCGTGGGCAGGGTCTGCCAGTCAAGGCCTGTGCTCAGCGTCCATGACATCCAAGTACTTGGCTTCAATGATTCGGGGCAGCAGGATATAGCTGTGGGGAGGGAGGGACAGGAGGATGAGCCTGGGTCAGAGAGAAGGCAGTGGACACCCATCCCAGCCCACCCCAGCCCACCCACAGGGCCAGGCTAGGCCTCTCCTCCCCGCCCGCCTACCCCCAGCCCACCCACTCTCCACTCCTAGACTGGAGCCCCTCCTGCCCACCACCCACCCCAGCCCGCCCACTCTCCACCTCTAGGCTGGGCTCCTCCTGCCCGCCAGCCTCCCCAGCCCGCCCACTCTCCACCCCTAGGCAGGACCCCTCCTCCTGGGCACCCACCCCAACCCGCCCATTCTCCGCCCCTAGGTGGGACCCCTCCTCCCAGCCGCTGCCCCAGCCCGCCCATTCTCCACACCTAGACTGGGCCCCTCCTGCCCACTGCCCACCCGCCTGTACCGGATGGGGATCATGGCGATCATGATGAGGGGAAAGATCATCTTCATGTAGGGCAGGGAGCTCATGCCGAAGGCACACAGCAGCAGCAGCTGAAGCACCTGCAGGCCCGTGAAGTAGTGGATCTTCCTCTGGGGCACCCTCCGGATGTAGTGTGTCGGGGGGTACGCAGTCTGTGGGCGGCAGGGACCGGGTGTGGGCAGGCATGGGGCTGTGTCCCCACCCACGCCACTCCCTCGCAGGGCCAAGCGCTCACCTGCTCCTTGAGCAGCAGGGCCACGCGCTGGACGAGCTGGTTGCCATCGAGGGAGGTGAGCGCGATGTAGAGGAAGAGGCCATAGAGCACGGGCTTGGGGATCCACTGAAGCGGGACCGGCAGCAGCAACAGGGACAGGCCCACCAGGACGCTGGCGCCCAGCGAGGTCAGCCGCGTCTCCTTCACGTTCACAATCCTGCGGTGGCCCGAGCCGCGAGTGTCACCTCTGCGCCCCTGTCCACAGGGCCTCACTCCTCCCTATGTCCCATGTGGCCAGAGGCTCCCCACTCCTCAGGGTCCACGGCTCTTGCCAGCCTCACACTCACGTGTCATAGATGTGTCCGTTCTCCACACGCTCCTCCACTAAGGCCAGGGCTCGCACGTGCAGCGGGGAGTGGGGGTAGGCGGCATGGATCCAAGGCAGCCCAAACAGAGACAGCCCTGTGTTGATGATGGCGAGGAGCAGGAGGTCCCAGTGGTAGGCAGTGCCCTTCACCAGCCTGCAGCAGACGGGCACTCGTGGACAGAGCCCCACAGCAGAGGCCCGGGCCCCGCCCACCCCACCCTCACCCACCCTCCACACCTGTTCTCCGGTGCATTCACCAAGGCGGCCACCAAGTTCTGCTCGATGAAGAAGAGCATGGACAGCAGGAAGCCGAGGCCCATGGCACCGCTGACGGCCCTCAGGGACAGCGACTGGATCTGCGCCATCGCAAAGGGGCTCTCGCTGGGGTTGTAGCGGAACTTGCTCACTGCAGTAGGGGACAGGCTACTGCTATGCCTGCAGCGCCTGGGGAGCTACCCCACGTCACCCACCGCCCGGCCCCAACTCACTCTCGATTTCCCGGAAGCCATGGGAGCTGATGAGGGAGAAGGCGAGCACCGCGATGGGCAGGGCGCAGTCGGACAGGATCTCTCGCACGCAGGGGTGCAGGTAGGGGCTGGGGACAGCAGGTGCATGAGCACAGCCTTTGACCCATGCGGCCCCTCCCCTCCCCATGCAGCCCCTCACCTCTTCTTGAATTGGTAGAGGGTGTAGCCCAGCCAGAGCGTGCCCAGCATGATGAGGAGGCTGAGCACGGCGGTCGCCTGGCCTGAGTGTGTGGCCGAGGGCAGCTCCGTGGGGCTGGCGAGGAAGCTGGCGTTGAGGGCAGTGTGGAGGCTGGCGTTGAGGCTGGCGCCGAGGCCTGACAGGCTGACAAGGGATGAAGTCCTTTTTGTGTGATAGTCGTCCAAGTAATGCCCATAGTAGTACTTCCAGAAGACTGTGGACACACACCCACAGGCCTCAGCCCTCTCCAGCGTGTGGCAGGGGGAGGCCCTGGAGGGAGGGGATCTCAGGGAGAAAGGGCTCCAGGGGGAAGGTGAGGGGACCCTGCCGACGTGCCCATGCACCCACACTCCTGCCCACTGTCCCTGTCCCATCTCTGACACCCCATCACAGTCGGCCCAGTGCCTCTGCCCCCACGGCTGGTCCCACCTGGGGCGGCCCCGTCACCCTCCAGCGTGGAGGGCTCTGCCCTCTGCCAGCCCAAGGCTCCCAGAGCACCGCACCCTTGATCACGGGCACACACTCAGCTTGAGCCAGTCCTATGTGCCCCCAGCCAGGGGCAGTGCAGAACCTCCCATCTCGGCTGAGCGCCCTGTTCAGCAGGTGGCCCCCAGCCGCACTCACTTTTAACCGTGCCCTTGACGGCATCCAGCACAAACGTGATGGAAATGAAGAGGGCGATGATCTCCTCCGTCGACCTGCCAGGAGGCCATGAGCCTCATCAGAGTGGGTGTGGTCAGGGGGCAGGTGGGGGAGGCCTCCCTGAGCCCCTGCACAGTCCCCTGCCTCCCCCTGCCAGGAAGAAGGCCAGGGCCCCAGGCCTTGCCTGAGCCCACCCCAGCCCCTTGGGGCAGCAATATGGTGGGGGCACCCCCACCACCCTGGGGTTACAGGGGGCTGAACCAGATCCCAAGCCTTGAGGGTCCCAGCAGCTCACGGAAGGGCCAGTCACCTCTTGAAGAGACTCATGACCAGGCTGAGGTTGAAAAAGGCATAAAGCGCAAGGAAGAAACTATTCCACAGGCCCGTCCATGCGTAGAAGGAGTTGAAGTCCAGGTCATAGTCATCACAGATGACACGAATCACTGCAGGCAGGGGGCAGGGCGGGTCAGGGCCCGGCAGGAACCAGGGGTCTCAGGCACCATCTCCCGCCTCAGCCCCCACTGCACCCTGGATGTAGAGCGCCAGGGGCGCGGTGGTCAGCAGAATCACCAATGGCTGCCCAGAGAAGAGCGCGTAGAGCAGGCCCCCGATGCTCTGCCCGGCTATGGTCTTCTGCACGTCTGTGGGGGTGCGGAGGTCAGGTGGGCGCCGCAGCCCAGGGCCCAGCCCAGCATACCCCCACCCACCGCCCACCGCCAGCCCCTCACCGATGGCCCCGTCTGTGTTCTCGTCATTGAGAGACCCGAAAGCGATGGTGGGCAGGAGGCAGGCGAAGTAGAGGAACAGGGTGGTGGTGATGTATTTGCCCACAGCCTTGTTTTTCCCAATAATGCCTAGGAATGGGGGATGGGAGAGAGGGTTTGCTGGGGATGCAGGACAGGCACACGTGTGGGCCCAAGGCCTGGAAAGCAGAGGCCACGTACCATCAGTGAAGTCCAAGGGGTACAAGGGGAACCTGCGTGCGATGTCCTCCCGGATGCCCTTCCCAAAAGGGACAAAGTCCTTGCACTTTGGGGGCTGGAGGAGAGGACAGAGCGCCTGTTAGCCCTGTCCGGCCCATGCCCCCGCCGACCCTGCCGGCCCCCGCCGGCCTCTACCCTGTACCTCTGGGTGTCTGTGGGCAGGGAGGGAGACTGTGCTGCGTTCCTTCGTTCTCGGCGCCACTGGACCGTGGCTCACCATGGTGAGCAGCTGTCTCTGATGCACCAAGGCCTCCTTGAATTCCTCCTCTGTGCGGGTCTCCAGGAGCTTCTGGCGGAAGGCGATATCCGAGAACATGGTGGCAAACGTGCGCGCCACCTCCATCGCAGTCTTAGTGCTTTTCTAGGGGTGGAGGATGGGAGTCACCCCTAGAAACAGAGGAGGCCCTGCCCGGGCCGAGCAGGTGAAGGTGCTCTCCCCATGAACTGGCAGCAGGTTTTTTGTCTGTTTGTTTTTTGTGTTTTTTTGAGACAGGGTCTCACTGTCACCCAGGCTGAGTGCAGTGGCACACTCACGGCTTATCGTAGCCTCGACCTCCCGGGCTCAAGTGATTCTCCCACATCAGTCCCCTGAGTAGCTGGGACCACAGGCACGCACCACCATGCCAGGCAATTTTTAATTTTTAACTTTTTGTAGAGACGAGGTCTCACTATGTTGACCAGGCTGGTCTCAAACTCCTGGCCTCAAGCAATCCATCTGTCTAGGCCTCCCAAAGTGCTGGGATTACAGGCACGAGCCACTGTGCCCAGATGCTGGTAGCAGGTTTTATTCCACAAAGTTCAGGCATTAGTGTACTCTGCCATGATTTCAACCAGGTCAGCAGATCACCGCAACTACCATCGATCTATATTTTTGTTATAAACTCATGATTTCTTATAAACTCAAGATATTACTTTTGTCCTAAGCAACAAAAGTCTGTGTGATCACAGATAATGAAACCACAGTGGAGAAAAATGTTTCCCCAGCTACGTTTCCCCAGTGGTATTTGCACTGTCTGCTGGTTTGACTTTCAGAGAGGGTCCAAGCCCGTCAGGCACTCTCTCTCTCGCCCGGCCAAGGTGAAGCCCGTCCGTGAACCATGAACTCACGAACTCAGTGTCCAGCCCTCATCACAGCAACCTGCTCACCTAGGGGCAGTGTCTGCCCGTCTGTTGCTCAAAGCTCTAGTCCCGGGGCACTGTGCATGTTTGCTGTAGAAGAGGCCCGTGCCTGGCAGGGCATGGTGGCTCACGCCCATAATACCAACTTTTTTGGGAGGCTAAGGCAGGCAGATCACTTGAGGTCAAGAGTTCAAGACCAGCCTGGCCAACATGGTGAAACCCCATCTCTACTAAAAATACAAAATAATTAGCTGGCTGTAGTTTTTGGTGGTGGCGGGTGCCTGTAGTCACAGCTACTTGGGAGGCTGAGGCGGGAGAATCGCTTGAACCTGGGAGGCAGAGGTTGCAGTGAGCTGAGATCACACCTCAACATTCCAGCCTGGGTGACAGAGTGAGACTCTGTCTCAAAGATAAATAAATAAAACAAACAAATAAACAAATACAAAACCCCAAAAGAACTAGTCCATGCTCCTGAGGAGGAGCCCAGTGTCGGGCTGGGGGATCTGCCTCAAGGCACCAGGCTTTAACTCAGCTCTGGGCTATTGCTCCTTCTGTGTGGGCACCCTGCTGGGGGCCACTCCTTCCAACCCAGGGGCTGCCCTTCCTCTCACACCAGCACAGTTGCATTTGTGGAGGTTCCCGCCATGTCTGAGATCCCTGAGAACCCCATTTGCACACAGAAGGCCAGGGGCAGGAGCACAAGAAGCTAAGGGAAGCTGAAGCTGAAGGCGCTGCCAAGGCCTTGGGAGGGGTCCTGGCAATCATCTGTTGAGACTTGTTAAATCCTTTTCCTTAAAAGACTCCCGAAATTGTATCAGTTCCGGCTCCCACAAAAAGCATGGTGTCCCGGCCAGGGGGTGTGTGGCCCAGGAAGGAGCAGGGACCCTCAGCTAGCAAATCGCAAAGTCAACCAAGTCAAAGAAGGGCTGGCGGGCGGGCAGGCCAGAGAAGGCCGCGTGTTTGAATAGGGATAGTGGTCAAAAGCGTTTCCTTTCAGTCAAGGAAATACGAACTTTTCGGCAATCCCCGGGGACATGAGGACTTGCCGGGCCTAGCAACATGTTTCTGACACACCCACAGGGCCGAGGCGAAGGGGAGGGTGAGGACCAGGCCTTCAGAGGCCAGGACATGTGGGAGGGGACCCCAAGCAGAGGGCGGGTAACCCGGGGCCCTCCTTCTTCCCCAGGACACGGCACTACCCACTCACCATCTTGGGTGGGGCCAGCACCAGGATGACGAACCGAACCTCACAGGAATTCTCCCCCCAGTTCTGTGGGCGAACCAGGCGGCTGATGCACACGTGCCGCTTCTGTAGGGCCTTCATGGTACAGCTGGCAGGGGCGGGGAGGACACAGTGCACAGTTGCACCCCAGGGAGCTGGGGCTCCCCGACCCAGAACCCCCTCGACCTTGACCCCTGGCGACCTCTGCTAGGGAGGGAAAAGAAGAGCAAATGGGACGTTCCTTGGCAGTGCTCCAGCCCTCTTCTCCCAAGTTGGTTGGGCCGCCAGAGCCCCAGGACTCACAGGTGGGCTGGCCTCTGCAGGGCACAGGGGACATGGGACACCCAGTTCCACTGCGACAAGAAGGGGGGCCAAGTGGCCTGGCAACTCACATGATGCAGAGCCACGACTGCTGGTACCGCACCCCTGTCACTGTGGCGGTGACCCCTTGGATGGTATCTGACAGCAGGTGGACTGAGGAAAGAGTGAGGGGGAGGGTGGTGGGTCAACAGCCCCTCCCAACGCCCCCGCCCGGGCCGGGAGACCGGCCTCACCTTTACCCCGCATGGGTGCCCCGGCATCGGTGAAGAGCATGGCCATGAGCAGGTCCAGGTTGCAGTTGGGCTCATTGTTGTCAGGGTCCCTGGCGAAGCGGCGAAGCATGGTCCGCAGCACGTTATCCAGGGAGGTGGCCGTCTCGTTCAGGACGATGCTGGCCTGCGCCAGGAAGCCATCTAGGTCGCGGTGCGCACGGATCTCTTCCTTGAAGTTCTTTAACTTCAGGTACTGAGGGGACCCCAGGGACAGAACCACACGGGCCCATGTATGAGATGCTGTCACTGCCTGGTCCCTCCCTCCCAGCCAGCCGCAGCAGTCCAGCCCCCAGCCCCCAGCCCCCAGCCCTGGGCTGGTGCGAGCTCCCTGTTGAGCTGCTCCTGGAGGCATGGGAAGAGGGGAGCAGCGGGAGGATTCTCAGGGAAGCCATCACCTCAGCCCCCAGGTAGAGGCCCCAGGACCACCTGCAGGACAGGCCATTCACCTTTCGGGAGGTGTGCAGGAGCACACAGCCACCGGAAGTCGCTTCATTCTCTGCCGGAGAAAAGCGGGGAGGGCTCAGGGTGCCACCCTCTCCTCAGGTCTTTCTTAGTAAGGCGAGTCACACCTGCCCAGTCCCGTGCCTTCCCCCAGTCTGCCCCTGCTGCAGCCCCCATACCAGTGTTGGTGGCCTGCATCTCAAGGTTGACATTGACAAAAAAACGGATACTCTCGCCAGACACGATGGAGGAGTTGGCAGTGTCGAAGGCCTCATCCCCCAGGATCTCCTCTCGGGCTTCGAAGGTGTCATCTGTGTCACACTTGTAGTAGCCTAGAGACCCCCAAGAGCAAGAGGGCCTGGCTGTTAAAGTGCCACACACAGGAAGGAGGGGCTCCAAGCCCAGGGAGCAGGGACCCCTGGACTGTCCCACTCTCGGGCCGTGGTGGGAGAGGCCATCCCATAGGCGAGGAAGGCAGCTTCTAGTCCTGCCCCAGCCCCACACAGGACATGGCAGCTGCCACAAAGTGAGTCTCCAGCATTCCCTAGCCGCTGAGACCAGGACCCTGCGCAGCTTTGACCCTTCAGCGTGAGAAAAACATGTCCACTCCAGACACATTGGGGCAGGCACGGAGTGCAATAATGCAGATGAGACTGCCTGGCCCCTGCCCTCCCAAAGTAGGGAACACAGGGAAGGCAGAGAAGCTGCAGTATCCACGTCTCTCTCTCTCTCTCTCTCTCTCTCTCTCACACACACACACACACACACACACACACACACACACACACACACGCTGCCTTGTGGGCACAGGGTCTTAGAGCTCCGCCTCCCCAGGAGGGCAGGTGGGGAGAAGCATCGAGGCTGAGAGACCCAGGACAGGTATCAGACAAGGTCTAGGGAGCAGGAAAACCAGGGAAACAGAGCCAGGGGCTGACAGGGGAGAGGACCCCAAGGCCTCATGTCAGCCCTGCCCCCATCGTGCTCCTCTTCATGTTCTGGGGGCCCTGGGTAAGGGCACATGGAGAGTGAGGGTGTGTAATGGCACCTGTGGGATGTGGGACCCCAGAGGTGAGAGCCTGCTCCCCTTGGTCCTCAATTCCTGCAGCTGGCCAGCAGCACACCCCTCTTCCTACAGGAAGATTTCCTGGTAACATGCAAATATTCCTCTGCCCTGAGCCCTGCAGTGGCTCCCTGCAGCCTACAGATCACAGCCTGAGCCAGCCCTGCTCCCCCTGCCCTGACCACTGGCTCCTCAGGCCATCCGGTCAGCACCCTAGGCATGCAAGGTCCTGTCCTCCAAGCTGAGGGCTTCCCTCCCTGGAGGGCCTTTTTCAAGACTCACTTGGAACCTCCTCCTCCAGGAAGTCCTCCTAGATCCCTGCCTCACCCCTGGCCACTGGCAGCCCTTCCTGTCTTGTGGGTCCCCTAAGGTTCCTCACTTGTAGGTACTCCCAGGAAAGGGGCCCTTATAGCCCAGACCCCACTGATGCCTGACAGACACCTGTGCAGAAACAAGGATGGGTCAGCAGCACGCCTGCACCTGCCAGGGAGTGACTCACCCTGACTCACTTCTACTCCCGCCGCCAGTTTCCTTGGCACATCCCAGGCCCTGTTCCCCCAGTGTCCTGAGTTTAGCCTGGGCCCCTTCTGGGTAGGAAGCCCTAGTGCCTCCTGCATCAAAGTCCCCAGGGACTGGTGACTCCCAGGCCCAGGCCTGCACTACCTCCAGAGCCCAGAGAAGAAATATTAGGTCAAAAGACATCCTTGCCTTTGGGAGGCCAAGGCAGGCGGATCACGAGGTCAGGAGATCGAGACCATCCTGGCTAACAATGGCTAACATGGTGAAACCCTGTCTCTACTAAAAATACAAAAAGAAATTAGCCGGGTGTGGTGGCGGGCGCCTGTAGTCCCAGCTACTCGGGAGGCTGAGGCAGGAGGCTGGTGTGAACCCAGGAGGCAGAGCTTGCAGTGAGCCGAGATCACACCACTGCACTCCAGCCTGGGCGACAGAGCGAGACTCAAAACAAAACAAAACAAAACAAAACAAAACAAAAGACGTCCTCACTGCTTTGGTTCTGGAGCTCATGATAAACTCCTTCCTCCCCGGGTCAGGCTTGCCTTGTTTAAACTGTCTGGTTCCCCTGGCCCGAACTTGTCCCAGCCTCCCCTCTGCCCCTCAACCAGCACCCACTAGTCCCCTCCACTGCCCTTCACACAGCCCCGTTCTTCCCCCATTCTTCCCCTGATGCCCTCAGCTCTACCTTAGACTTAGTGCTCAGGTCCCCTAGATTAAGGACCTGCCCAGCTGACACTACCAGGTTCCTGGGGGGCTCCTGCAATGCCAAGTCCTAGTCCCAGCCCCATACGTAACCTGCCCACCAGCAGCCTAGCACACAGAGCCCCATGTCCTGAGGGCTCTGGGTAAGGGAACATCAGCCCTGTGTCTACGCACTGCTCTACAAACAACCCTCGAATGGTCAGGTCACTCATGGGGCTAGGCACAGGACACAGCCTGAAGCCAGCCCAGAGACATGAGGAGGAAGACAGCTGGACTGGTACAAGCAGGGACAGCAGGAAGGTGCCCGAGGGACTGCAGCACAGAGGCCTTATATTTCTTTAAAGAGACAACGACAGATATTCCCTCCAGGGCTGGGTGAGGACAGAGGGACAGGGGCACACAGAATTCTTGGCCCAAGGCTAGTCAGATAACAGGCCATTGTCACAGAAAACCTTGGGTAAGAATCCCAGAGGGTTCACCTGGTCCAAGTAGCCCAGGAGAATGGGCAGCCTGCCCTCTCAGGTCCACGGGGGATCCGCCCATGTCTAGCTTCCCGAAGAGTGGAAGCCAAAAGCATTCCAGCACTAGAGTGGCCCAGATAGGCGAGCAAAGCCACAGGACTCTGGTGGGTAGGCTATGCACCCTGGAGGCTTTTGCCCGACAAGCTCTCTCTGCACACACACACTCCCCGAGAGGTACTCACTTGAATCCTCGAAGTATCCATTCTGCGACATGGTGGGAGAGTTTTCTGCAAGGGAAGCAGAAAGGTCACCAGCCCCATGGACCAAGCCCTGGACCTCCTGTGTGCACCTGTCTCCCCGCCCCCCGACCTGGCTCATTCCTTCGCTCTTCCGAGGGATGCAACCCACGCCACCCTAGGGAGAAAGGGAAGCAGGGGACAGTGCTCGGGAGGGGGCCCCATAGCAGGGGAAGCCAGCCTTAATCTCAGAAATTCAATTGCTTAGCCCATCTGCTAGGGGCTGCCCAGGCGGGCCAGAGGCGAGGAGGAGAGACGTTCCAGGGATGTCTTCCCACCGAGTTAGTACCAGTACCATGTTCGCTAATCCAGGTTTTCCTGAGAAAACCCTGCCCCGCTGCAGCGAGAGGAAGGGACCGGGCCCGAGCGGGCCTCTCCCCCTCTCTCCTCGGATGCCAAGGCGGGGGATCTCTCTGCACATCCCTCTTCTCACTCTCAGACCGGTCCTGGGGGCCATAAACGCCCATTGCAGGCGCAGTTCCCCCGACCCCCGTCACGCGCCCCGGGTCACACGGGGGCCGACAGGCAACGGTCTCCAGTCCTGGGACCGCGTCCCGGCCGCCTGGAAGCCAGAGCCGTTGGTCCAAAAGGGAGAACAATTGGGGGTGGGAGGAGTATCTGAGGGACACATGGGTCGGGGGAGGCTGCGCCCTCCCTGGGCCGGTCCCCGGATGGTCCCGGCTGTTTGTGCCTCGCTGTCGGAGGAAGGAAGCGACAGGAGGGGCCGCGTGCACGAGAGGAAAGCGCCTCCAGACTCGGAGACCCCGGGGGTCGGGGCGCAGGATGTGAATGCAGGCGCGGGGCGGGAGCCGGGGCTGCATCCTGAAGTGGGGGGCGGGGGCGCTGGGGCGCGTCCCAGGCCGTGGGCGACGAGGGTCTGGGAGGGTTGGGCCGGTGCACACTCCGCTTCCGTCCCGGCGGCCCACGTGCAGGTAAAGGGTCGTACAAACCTGGGTCCTGGCGGGGACCCAGGGCTGGCCCTCCCGTGTCAGAGCAAGGGAGAAACCGCTGCGGCCGCGCAGGGCACGGTCAGGGGTCCCGGGACTCCCAAAACTCCAGGGGTTCCGGGGCTCCCACCGCGGCGCCGGACGGGAAGATGCCCGGGCGGAAGGTAAAATGAGACCTTCCGAGGCGGCGGCCCGCCAGGCTCCCAAAAGCTCGGCGCTCGGGGCGCTGGGAGCCCCACAGCTCCGCCCTGCCCACTTTCGAGCTCCCCGCCCTCGACCCGCTGCATCAGCTGTTCAAACCTGGTAAGAAATTCAAGACGGCGACAGCAGAGCCCTAATGAAACCAAGCGCGCGGTGGCCGCGAAGCCGCGCCCGGGCCTCCCGCACCCGCGCCCTCCTCCCCGCGGCTGGGAATCCCGCAGCCCTCTCGCCCACCGGCCCCGGCCCGCGCAGGCAGACGGCATCCGCGTTCTCCCCGGGGTCCCCGACGGGAGACGGTGGCGGAGACCCGGGCGGCCTTCCCGCCGCGCCCCCGGGTTCAGGCACCCACCGCACGGCTGCAGATGGAACACGCGCCTGGTGGCCGCGGCCATGGCACACTCGCGCACTCACGGCCGGGCTCCTCACGCGGCGCTCCGGCGCTTCTGGACCCCAAACTCGGCGACTCGGGCGGGCCGGCGGCGGGAGCCGGCGACACACCCCCACGCCGCGCCTGGGTCCTAATGCCGCTCAGACGCCGCGCCCGGGCGCGGTAGGCAGAGCTGCCGAGGGCTGGGACCCGGCCGCCCGCCCCGCGCCCTCACCCGCGGGAGGCTGCTCCAGCCGGGCTGGGCTGCTCCCCGCCGCCCGCAGCTGCTGGGCCAAACCGAGTAGACCCGGCTCCTTCGAGCCTGTGCGCGCCGGACCCAGCAGACCCAGCGTCGCGAGTTTAGGGGCTGGACGGGGCCGGGGAGCTTCTGGGAAAACGTTCGACTGCGCCACGAGCCCACCGAGCTGTGCGACTGAGGCAGACCCCGGGAGGGCTTCCCCCGCGTCCGCTTTAAGTACGCGGCCGGCCCCTGTCTCCTCCTTTCGACCGGGGACCTCCGCAGGGCCACGCCCGCTGGCTGCCCCGCCTCCTGCATTTATCCCGGTAGCTCCGGCCGCAAGTCCTTCTCCTCCTCCTCCAGGAAGCGCGCCCCGACTGACTAGACGGACCTCCGTGCATTCCCCGGGCTACGCCCTCGCCCGCTGAGACGGCGCTCTCCGAGCTCGGCTGCTTTGGGTTTTCGCTGCGAGCCTCGCCAACTTATCTGCCAGCCTCTTCACGTCCTCGGCCTTCTATGAGGTCAAGGTCATGGTTCGCCCCCTTTTTCCTTCCCCAAATGGCCCTTGCGCCCTGTCCCCTTTCCTGGACCGGCTGCGACCCGCCCGGGGACGCGCCTTTTCGGGGCGCTTAGTCTCCTGCGAGTAGGGCGTGTGCGCGTGTGGGTGCGCGTGCTGCGATGCGATCCGGCAAATGCAGCTGACGAACCCCTGGCCTGATCCACGGTGGCTCCCAGTAGAAGGCTCTACAGCCCTTGGAAACGGAACACGCAGCTCCGTAAAGCGCTAACCAACCTCCCGACCCCTCCGGCCGCCATCGCTTTCCGGCTCAGCCGCGCTGGGACGGAGTCCTCGGCCACTGTGCCCTAACCATGGTAGAGGAACGGGGACAGGCCGGGGCAAGCCCACCTCTGCGAAGGAAGGGCTTCTGGCGCGTTGGGGAAGCCTCATGCATAGATTGGGTGAGTAAGGCTGGCCCAGTTCTCCTCCCGGCAAGATAAGAACGCATTAGGAGGGAAGCGCTGGAGTGCTCCTCTTGGCGACGGATGGCCTGGGGCTCTGCGACAGACTGAGTACCCCACCCTCCCCCAGCGCGACTCCAGGAGGCCTTGTGGAAGATCCCAACACCATGACCTGCAACTGACTTGGGGCTGGCCACATAGTATTTTAGCAGGGGTGACTCTGGAGAGACACCAGGTCATCCTGCGCACCCCTTGGGACCTTTCCTAGACGCCCTCCAGCTAGAGCTCCAGTCCAGGCACTGACTCCCGGGTGGCGGGTGGAGGCTGAGGAAGAGCTGAAGGACACAGGCGGATGTCGCCCCCGGAGCATGGCTGCATAGGTGGCATGCAGGCTGGATCCCTGAAAAGCCACCTTGCCACCCCCAGTCTCCCCCATCTGGGAATGCCTTGGCTTCTGCACCTGCTCCCAGCAGCTCCCAAACACCTGGTCCTTCCAACCCACTTGTTCCAGGAAAGCCTCTGGGATGGAGGGCGCTTCCCCTTACCACAGTCTCCTCAGCGCTCCTCAAAGGACCTAACCCCTCAGCCCACTGAGGAAAGAGGAGCCCATGACCAAGCCGCCCCTAGTCGGCTATGGGCCCCCTCTGTCCGCTCCCTGACCGTCTCTCAAAGGAACTGGCACTGAGCCCTTCTCTGCTACACCTGTGCTCTGCCCCTGCGGTTCTGTTCCCTCGGCCTTCCTGGAGGGAACCCCTGAGGCCCACACGCCTGCTGCCTCCAGACTGACCGTTTCAGAGGCTGTTTCCTTCAGTCCTCCCACCTGCCTCCTGTCCTGTGTAGATCGTCTGACGCTGAAGGCAAATACTGGTGCCCCAGATCTCCTGTCCTGTGCCCCACTGGGTCCTTACATAGGCAGGCAGGTTGAGGGACCCAGACGCAGGCACCCACTTTCCCTCTCATTCCCTCCCTTGGGGTCTCAGACTTTACTGGGCTGTGGACTTGAAACTGTAACCGCTGGGTTCCACAAGGCGCACTTAACAGTTTTCTGCTGTCCTCCCCTGATGCCACTTATCTTGCCTGTGGATTGTAGAATCTGGGGTCTGAAGTAAATGTATAACATCTCATTTTTAGGCCGGGCTTGGTGGCTCACACCTGTAATCCCAGCACTTCGGGAGGCAGAAGTGAGAGGATTGCTCAAGCTCAGGAATTCGAGACCAGCCTGGGCAACACGGTGAAACCCCGTCTCTACTAAAATTACAAAAACTTAGCCAGGCATGGTGGCATACGCCTGTGGTCCCAGCCACTCAGCAGGCTGGTGTGGGAGAATTGTTTGAGCCAGGGAGGTCAAGGCTGCAGTGAGCCAAGACTGCATCACTGCACTCCAGCCGTGGTGACAGAGAGAAACCCTATCTCAAAAAAAAAAGGGCTCATTTTAAAAACAAAACATTCCCCGGCCGGGCGCGGTGGCTCACGCCTGTAATCCCAGCACTTTGGGAGGCCGAAGTGGGCAGATCACAAAGTCCAGAGATGGAGATCATCCTGGCAAACCAACATGCTAAAACCCCCTCTCTACTAAAAATACAAAAAAATTAGCTGGGCATAGAGGCGCATGCCTGTAGTCCCAGCTACTCGGGAAGCTGAGGCAGGAGAGTTGCTTGAACCCGGCAGGTGGAAGTTGCAGTGATCCGAGATCGTGCCACTGCACTCCAGCCCAGGCGACGGAGCGAGACTCCATCTCAAAAAAAAAAAAAAAAAAATTTCCCTTAAAGCCCCTTGCCCTCCGGGTGCTGCCTTATCCCTCAGCTACATTTAAGAGGAAGTTTCTCCAGAGCTCCATGCCCCTCCCGCTATGTCTCTTCAACCGACTCATACCTGTCTTTTGTCCCCACCACACCACTGAAACTGCTGAGACTCCATCTCAAAAACAAACAAACAAAACAAAACAAAAAACAAAAAGTAAACCAGGTGCGGTGGCACATACCTATAATCCCAGCTACTAGGGAGGATGAGATGGGAGGATCCCTTGAGCCCAGGAGTGTTGAGACCAGCTTGGGCAACATAGGGAGACCCACCCATCTCAAAACAAACAAAAAACCCAAAGGAATGTTAAAGGCAGATATCTCCATGGAGGCATTTCAGGCCTATGACGCCCTCCCGAAGCTCTCTTCTCCATCCTCCATCCTCCATTCCACTCAGGCTTTCTGGTCTAGCCTAATGGGCATCCCAGCCAGATACTCCCGACTCCCCTCTGCCTCCTTCCTCTCACCCTGGATGGCCACATTTCACTGAGTCATTTTATTTCTTTGATTTTTATTTTGTTGAGGCAGAGTCTCACTCTGCCACCCAGGCTGGAGTGCAGTGGCACAAACACGGCTCACTGTAGCCTCGATCTCCTGGCCTCAGGCGATCCTCCCACATCAGCTGGGACTACAGGTGTGCACCACTGTGCCTGGCTAATTTTTTTTTTTTTTTTTTTTGAGAGAAATGGGGTCTCACTCTGTCTCACAGGCTGGAGTGCAGCGATGCAATCTTGGCTTACTGCAACCTCCGTCTCCCAGGTTCAAGTGATTCTCCCGCCTCAGCCTCCCCAGGAGCTGGGATTACAGTCATGCACCACCATGCCTGGCTAATTTTTTTTTTTTTTTTTTTTTTGAAACAGTTTTGCACTGTTGCCCAGGCTGGAGTGCAGCGGCGCCATCTCGGCTCACTGCAAGCTCCACCTCCTGGGTTCACGCCATTCTCCTGCCTCAGCCTCCCGAGTAGCTGGGACTACAGGCACCAGCCACCATGCCCGGCTAATTTTTTGTACTTTTAGTAGAGATGGGATTTCACCCTGTTAGCCAGGATGGTCTCAATTTCCTGACCTCATGATCCGCCTGCCATGCCTGGCTAATTTTTGTATTTTTGGTAGAGGGGGTTTTGCCATGTTGGCTAGGCTGGTCTTGAACTCCTGGCCTGAGGTGATCCACTGCCTCGGCCTCCCAAAGTGCTGGGATTACAGGCATGAGCCACTGTGCCTGGCATTTTTTTTTTTTTAATTTTTGTAGAGATGGGGATCTCACCATGTTGCCCAGGCTGGTCTCAAGCTCCTGGGCTCAAGCGATCTTCCCACCTCAGCCTCCCAAAGTGCTGGGATTACAGGTGTGAGCCACCGTGCCCAGCCTTATTTTTATTTTTTTATATTTATTTATTCATTAAGACAGGGGCTTGCTGTGTCGCCCAGGCTGGAGTGCAGTGGTGAGACCACTGCTCACTGCAGCCTCAACCTCCCAGGTTCCCGCAATCTGCGCACTTCGGCCTCCCAAATTGCGATTACAGGTGTGAGCCACGGCACTCAGCTGAGTCCTTTTATTTCTACCTCGGGTCTGCAGCATCCTGGCTGCCATAGCCTTCCTTGGACCCTTGGCAGGCATGGCTTCCCATACCTCGCAGCCAGCCGCTCTCTCTGAAGTCACTGGGATTTTACCAGCCTCTTGGGGCTCCCGCTGCCTTGACCGGTGTTCTCAGCCTCTGGTAGCCCTTCTCCAGCTGCAGCTGCTCCGCCTCCTCGCTGTTCCTGGGGAGGAGAGGTGCTGTTCCCACGCTCTCTCTCTATGATTGAGGACTTGTCATCTGTAATGGTTAGTTATTTATGGGAGCCCTATGTCCAGCTCTGAACCAGGCCAAGTGACTGGGCTCAGCTGCCCACTGAATCAACTGCCTGATACTCCCTGGTGGTCTAACTGGACCCCAACAATCATGCCAGTCTCCTGTTCCCCTCCAAATATTTTTAATTTTTTTAGACAGGGTCTTTCTCTGTCACCCAGGCTGGATTACAGTGGCGCAATCATAGCTCACTGCAGCCTTGACCTCCTGGGCTCAACTCATCCTCCCACTTCAGCCTCCCAAGTAGGTGAGACTACAAGCAGGTGTCATCACGCCTGGCTAATTTTTTTATTTTCAAAATTTTTGGAAAAGACGGCCTTGCTGTGTTGCCCAGGCTGGTCCTGAACACCTGGCTTCAAGAGATCTCAATCTTTGTTTAGACTGTCTTCCCCCACGCCATAACTCTTCCTGTCCCGTCAGCTTTTGCTTTCTATCCGTGGGAGCCCAGCATGAGACTGGTTGTCCTGGTAATGCTGCAGGGTGCTGGGAGGGGGAACATAGCCTCCACTGGCCTCCTCTCTTTCCTGGGGGGCATCTCCCGGCCCCTTGGGTAGGTGGAAGGACAACCCTTTGGTGCTCAACAAACACAGCAATAAGCCCTCTCTCAGTTGCCATCTACCCCTACTGAGAGAAAGATCCAGGCTACTATAACATAAGGGCATCCAGGAGGGCAAGGAGCCCCTGCCCTGCAGAGGGTCAACAAGGACCTGCTACCCTCAGGATGGCATCTGTCTGCCCCGCCCCTCAGTCCATACTCACAGTCCAAAGCTAGCATGGGCAGGAGTGGGCTAGGGCTCTTGGCTCACTGATTCTAAGAGCTCATGAATTCCAGGCATACAGACTGTCAAGGTCTTGTGGCAGGCATGCAGCAGACCACTGGGCAGGAAGATTCTGGGGCTGCCCCACTGCCCTCCTGTCAGGCCTCTCTGCCCTCCACAGCCCAGCCTCTCACAACCAAACACTGGCTTCCTTCCCCACCCTCACCTACCCCCAGGCCCTACTCCATCAAAATCCCATCACCTGCTACCCAAGGAAGAATTCTACCTGGTGACCCTAAGGTTCTCTGGGTAGACTGTCACCTCCTGGCCATCCTTGGCCAATCTGTGTCCCTCATGTCTTCCTCACCCATGGCTCTCCTCGCTGGTCCCCATCCTGCTCAGGGGCCTGGATGTCACCATTGGGGGCTGATGTGGCCTGAGACCCCATCCAGGTCACCCTCCTCTCCAGCCCCAACTCCTCCCAGGAATTTGGAGGCACAGGGAAGAGAGAGGTGGTGGGGAGGCCCAGGGCAACACCCTGGAGCAAGACCTCCAGCCTCTTTAGATCTCTGATCGTTGTTATCTATAAAACAAATAAGCTGGAATGGAGTTTTCGTAGCTAGAAAATTCCATGAATTTTGTCTCAAACTGAAATAATCTTATCAAACCATCTTTCCAGTTCCTGTTGTCCTTATTTCTCTATTTGTACATTCATCCAGGCATGAAATTTCAGAGTAGAGATGAAAAGTTTCTTAAACATGTCCAGTCATGAGAGGAAAACAAAAATCACACTTTATTGCTGCAGGAAAAGCAGTAGTAATTTGTGGGATAAAATGAAAATTATTCACACTTTATTTGGTTAATATATATATAAATATATTTTACAGATTTACAGTCATTTATGAGTAGGACATAAAATTTATTGAATCTGATGTAATTTTTTAAAAAACCAAACTCTTTTAGCTGGTCAATTTAGGAATGCAGAGGCCTGGGAAAAACAGGAATAATTTGTGGATAAACAAATTTATTTTTCATCAAATTTTTAGAGATGAAACAAAAAAAGTATTTGGATTTGTTTCAAAACGTTGGGTTTTTTCCACTTGGGCTTTTTCCACTTTTACCTCGAGGTCATCTCCTTAGCTGTTGCCTAGTTAGTCATGGTCTTGTCAATTGTTCCTTCAAAATGGCTCTCCAGTTGGTCCACTTCTCACCTCCACCCACGTGGAGCAGCAGCCCATTCCCCACATCACAGTCTATATGACCTTTCTTTCTTCTTTTTTTTTTTTTTTTTTGAGAAGGAGTCTCGCTCTGCCACCCAGGCTGGAGGGCAGTGGCACCATCTAGGCTCACTGCAACCTCCACCTCCCAGGTTCAAGCAATTCTCCTGCCTCAGCCTCCTGAGGAGCTGGGATTACAGGTGCCCGCCACCACGCCCAGCTAATTTTTGTATTTTTAGTAGAGACAGGGTTTCACCATGTTGGTCAGGCTGGTCTTGAACCCCTGACCTCGTGATCCACCCACCTTGGCCTCCCAAAGTGCTGGGATTACAGGTGTGAGCCACCACCTCCGGCGTTTTTTTTTTTTTTTTTTTTTTTTTTGAGATGAAACCTCGCTCTGTCGCCCAGGCTGGAGTGTGATGGCACGATCTCGCCTCACTGCAACCTCCGCCTCCCGGGTTCAAGTGATTCTCCTGCCTCGGCCCCCGCGAGTAGCTAGGATTATAGGCACCTGCCACCACGCCCGGCTAATTTTTGTATTTTTAGTAGAGACAGGGTTTCACCATGTTGGCCAGGCTGGTCTAGAACTCCTGACCTCAAGTGATGCGCCTGCCTTGGCCTCCCAAAGTGCTGGGATTACAGGTGTGAGGCACCGTGCCTGGCTCTACATGACCTGTCTTTTTCTCTTTTTTCTTTTTTTTGACCTTTCTTTTGTTTAAGAAAAATAGATTCTCAGACAGGATCCCATGATCACTGGTATCCCTGGGTTGTGCTGAGGCACTATAAAACCAAACAATGGGCTGGGTGCAGTGGCTTACTCCTGTAACATAGCACTTTGGGAGGCCAAGGCAGGAGGATGACTTGAGCCCAAGAGTTTGAAACCTGCCTGGGCAACATAGATAACATCTCTACAAAAAATGCAAAATTTGGCCCAGCATAGTGGTGTGCACCTGGAGTCCCAGCTATTCGGGAGGCTGAGTGGGGAGGATGACCTGAACCCAGGGAGGTTGAGGCTGCAGTGAGCTGTGATCTATAGCCTAGGCTACAGAGTGAGACTCTGTTTAAAAAAAAAAATGTAGGTTAGCTGGGTGAGGTGGCACATGCATGTAGTCCTAGCTACTCAAGAAGCTGAGATGGGAGATTACCTGAGCCCCAGGAGGTTGAGGCTGCAGTGAGCTATAATTGCACCACTGCACTCCAGCCTGGACAACAGAGTGAGACTCTGTCTTAAAAAAAAAAAAAAAAAAAAAAAAAAAAAAGCCAGGTGTGGTGGCTTATGCCTGTAATCCCAGCAGTTTGGGAGGCTAAGGCTGGTGGATCACTTGAAGTCAGGAGTTCAAGACCAGCCTTCTCAACATAGTGAAACCCCTCCTCTAGTAAAAATACAAAAAAAAAAAAAAAAAGTTGGGTGTGGTGGCATGTGCCTATAATCCCAGCTACCCGGGAGGCTGAGGCAGCAGAATCTCTTGAACCCAGGGGGTGGAGGTTGCAGTGAGCCGAGATCTCGCTGCTGCACTCCAGCCTGGGCGACAGAGCGAGACTGTATCCAAAAAAAAAAATAATAATAATAAAAATCAAGTAGGTGTCTGACTTATCAGAAAAGCTCAGAAACTGCAGGGAGATGCGTAATGCTGGTTTAGGGGAGCAAGCCGTTCTGTGGGGGGCCCACCTCTCAGATGGGCCTGGTATGGAGACCCAAGGCCAGGCTAATCAGAAAACTCCATTCCTCCTGACCATGGTAATTATTCAGGGATGAGAATGTGATCCTTGCCTATGGGACCCTGGTGCTGCTGGTGGTGTAAGGGAAGCTTGCTGCAGGGGAAGAATGAAGCCACCGAAGATAGAGGGTTCTGATGACATACTAGTGCCTGCGCCTGGCTGACCTGTAGCTGGTACTAGTCTGGACTCCTGCAGAAACCAAGCTGATCTCTTTCTGTCATGGGCTGGAAGTGGGTCACATGGTCATGTCTTCTTTGGGTATAACTTTTCCCTAGAGTGTAGGATAGAGATTAACACTGGTGTTTCTCTGTGTTCCTTGGCGGGCTCTCTGATTTTCAGCAGCTCCACATGAGATCTGCTCTAAATCACTTTTCACAATCGACTCTGCCAGGATTCCCTGACTCTGGGGCTCCCACTCTGGTAAGCAGCACTAGGGTTTCAGTAGTCCCCTGTCCCTACTGAGAGCTCCAGGTGGAAGATGGGATCCTTTCCCCATCCTCAGGT